>NC_000010.11:9403939-9555454 GCF_000001405.40 Homo sapiens
ACAAATGTTGAGTTTTGGTTTCCAAACAACATTAAATATACTGTAGAATGCAATGTTATTGGATTTTTGGGACTTGTAATTTATATAAGCTTAGAAACCACAGCAATTAATTTTCTAATATGAAGAAGTAGTAAGAGGAAAATGCCACATCATATTAGTGTCTGGATAAGTCTTCTTGTCATTAAATACATACATACCAGCATGCATAAGTGTAATTTATTTATGAAATTAGAAAATGCAAACCTGGCAGAAAGCTAACAAAACAGTGAAAGCTACTGTCTCCTATTTCAAACTCACATACAGCATCTGTCTCTTGCCTTCATTCTCTCTTTTTCTACATCTAAATGTGTGTGTGTAAATTATTTTACATACTATTTGGTACTTTAAAAAAATTACACGTGTGTGTGTGTGTGTTTGAGCGGAGTACTTTTATATCAACTGTACCTTGTTACACATTTCTTTTTAAGTGGATACAGGGGTAATATTAATGCAATATAATTTCATTATGGTTTATATCATAATTTATATAACAAAAGAACTATTGGTGAATATATCAGTCGTTTTCTTATTTTTTACAGTATGTTTACAATCAATATCTTTATACTTTGATAGAGGCATTAGTTGAAATTTTCAGCAATAAGATTTTCAGGTAAAGTGGCAATTGCATTTTATAATGTTCACATATTTTTTCAGATTTTCCTCCATAGTATGCAGCAATAGTTACATATTTTCCCAAACACTCACAAAAAACCATGGAGAAGTTAGACAACAGGACTTGATGAGGGACAAATGGCCTTGGATATGGGTGATACTGAGGCCTTTAAGGAAGATATGAACATGATACAATAATTAAATGTTTATGCACATGACTGCCTACTCATAATCACAAATGGAATATCAAACTTTAAATATTAAAAAAGTAATTGTTAACACAAGGGAGGAGATTGAAAAGATTTCACATTTTACACTACTGTAGTGCTTAATTTTTTAGGTGTGTATGCAGTAATCTTACCCTATAAAAATAATTATAGTGATGTAAAAATACGCACTAAAAAAGGCAAGAAAATGTAACAATATGAAAGACAATTTTGAACAGCTGCATCATCAATAGAAGGGCAGATCAGAAAACAAAACTATTCTTTATGAAGAAAAATTGGCTTAATTGGGTAGAATAAATAATAAGAGACAATATTTAATTTAAAAAAAATTAAAAGTTGCATAGCTATGCAGATTCAAAGGGCTTCCTATGTCCAGAAAATTCCAGTCAGGAGAAACACACTCAAATTGTTTTTAATTACAGAGAGAAAGTAAAAATCCTACTGGCATCCAGTAGATATAAAACAAACAAATAAAAATAATGAAAATCTAAAGCAATAAAGATCCTATGAAGGAATGCAAACTAGCCTACTTCACATTTCTCCTTTGCACCTTTTTATGTAGATTATACCAACTTTTGCATAATTCTTTAGGAATAACAGTATTTTTTCTTAGGCAACTAAAATTCTTAGTTGAACAAGGACAGTACAAACACAATTCAAGGTTAGTTTCTTTTCTATAAGTATCTGTTTATGATTCAAAGTTAATAAGAAAAAATACAATTTAAGTCGAAGGATAGGATACAGTGGCTGTGAAGCAAATGGTAATAAGCACGGAGTTCACCTAAGAAAAATGTTAAGTATAAATAATTACTGAAGAATCTACTTTAGCTAATGGATGCTGGGCTTAATACCTGGATGATGGGATGATCTGTGCAACAAACCACCATGGCACATGTTTATATAAGTAATAAACCTTCACATCCTGCACATGTACCCTTGAAATTAAACAAAAGTTTGAAATAAAAATATATTTTAATACAAAATATAAACAGTAAAACTTCCTGGTAAAATTTAAAAAGGATATTGTAAAAATTACCATTTGTAAAAATTTTATCTTGAATTTTCAAATGATATTGGCAAGGGCAATGTTGCAGGATGCTTGAAAAGAAAGAAACAAAATACAGTACATTTCTCCTCTTCAAAATGGAAAACTTAAGCCTGGCATGGTGAGTCACATCTGTAATCCCAGCAGTTTGGGAGATTGATGAAGGAGCATCACTTGAGCTTAGGATTTTTAGACCACCCTGGGCAACATAGTGGTAACTTGTCTCTACCAAAAAAAAAAAAAAAAAAATTAGCCAGGTGTGGCAGCATGTGCCGGCATTCCCAGTTTGGGAGGCTGAGGCGGGAGGATTGTTTGAGGTTGGGAGTTCGCCACTGCAGTGAGCCGTGATCGTGCCACTGCACGCTAGCCACTAACAAAATGAGACATTGTCTCACAAACAAAAACCAAAACAACAATAAATAACAACAATGAAGGAAAACTTCAAAAATATACAATGTCACTATTGACATTAATGAACAGAAAAGATAGAAACAATACATCTCACTCTTAAATAGCATAAATACAATGTTACATTGTTATAGGTATATAACTTGACAATCCTAATATATCGCCAAAAATACTGGATGCAAATGAAGGAATAAAATTATACACTCAAAAGATGACAAGAAAACAAAGAACAGTTAAAACAATAAAATGAAAGCAAGAAAGCAAAATAAACAGAATGGCAAAAAGAATAAACATATTAGTTAATAATGAATATGAATTAACAGAACACTTTGTTATGTGAAATACTGTTACTTGTATTGAAAACCAGTACCTAATTAAATGCCAATTTTAGGAGACCTACTCAACAATGCAACGCCAAACAATTATTGGAAGGTAAAGCCTTTGGTTATATAGACCTATTTTACATTATCTTCACTTCGTTATGACATCCTGGAAATAATTTAAAAGTTATAAATATACAACAGCAAAAGGAAGAGGTAATAAAAGGACAGGAGATTTTTAACATATTTATGGAGGAAGGGAAGTAGAGGACTGGCAATAAAAGAAGCAGAAAGTGGAAGCTGGATCCTAGACACAGAGTTCCAAGCCGGATTCTAGATACAGAGCACCTCATTGGGATTCTAGATACAGAGCGCCTGAGTGGGATTCTAGATGCAGAGGGTCTCAGCAGATCCTAGACACGGAGCGCCTCAGCGGATCCTAGATACAGAGCACCTCAGCGGGATTCTAGACACAGAGCATCTCAGCGGTATTCCAGACACAGAGCGCCTCAGCAGGATTCTAGACACAGAATGCCAAGCCGGATTCTAGATAAAGAGCTCCTCAGTGGGATCCCAGACACAGAGCGCCTCAGCGAAGTCGTAGATAATAGAGCGCCCCAGCGGGATCCTACACACAGAGCGCCCCAGCGGGATCCTACACACAGAGCGCCCCAGCGGGATCCTACACACAGAGCGCCCCAGCGGGATCCTACACACAGAGCGCCTCAGCGGGATCCTACACACAGAGCGCCCCAGCGGGATCCGACACACAGACCGCCTCAGCGGGATCCTACACACAGAGCGCCTCAGCGGGATCCTACACACAGAGCGCCCCAGCGGGATCCTACACACAGAGCGCCCCAGCGGGGTCCTAGACACAGAGCGCCTCAAAGGAGTCCTAGACACAGAGCACCTCAGCGGGATCCTACACACAGAGCGCCTCAGCGGGGTCCTACACACAGAGCGCCTCAGCGGGGTCCTAGACACAGAGCGCCTCAGCGGGGTCCTAGACACAGAGCGCCTCAGCGGGGTCCTACACACAGAGCGCCTCAGCGGATCCTAGATGCAGAGCCCATCAGTGGGTTCCTAGATGCAGAGTCCCTCAGCGGGATCCTGGTTGTGGAGCGCCTCAGCGGGATTCTAGATGCAGAGCGCCTGAGTGGGATTCTAGACACAGAGCGCCTCAGCCTGGTCCTACACACAGAGCGCCTCAGCGGGATCCTGGTTGGAGAGCGCCTCAGCGGGGTCCTACACACAGAGCGCCTCAGCGGGATCCTGGTTGGAGAGCGCCTCAGCGGGGTCCTACACACAGAGCGCCTCAGCGGGATCCTGGTTGGAGAGCGCCTCAGCGGGGTCCTACACACAGAGCGCCTCAGCGGATCCTAGATGCAGAGCCCGTCAGTGGGTTCCTAGATGCAGAGTCCCTCAGCGGGATCCTGGTTGTGGAGCGCCTCAGCGGGATTCTAGATGCAGAGCGCCTGAGTGGGATTCTAGACACAGAGCGCCTCAGCCTGGTCCTACACACAGAGCGCCTCAGCGGGATCCTGGTTGGAGAGCGCCTCAGCGGGGTCCTACACACAGAGCGCCTCAGCGGGATCCTGGTTGGAGAGCGCCTCAGCGGGATCCTAGATACAGAGCGGCTCAGCGGGATTCTCGATACAGAGCCCCTCAGCGAATCCCAGATACACAGCGCCTGAGTGGTATTCTAGATATAGAGCACCTCAGCGGATCCTAGATACAGAGCGCCTTAGCTGGGTTCTGGACATAGAGTGCCTTAGCAGGAAACAGATATGAAGCCCTGTCACAGAGGTCTTTGCTATGTTAGGATTGCTTAGGAGAAGGGAAGTGGCAGTGAGGTGTTTGGCAGGACACTGGAATTCCATAGGAATCTCCATAAGGAGGAGTGCATGCCCTGCCTTTCCTGGACACAGTCCACACAGTTAGCTGTTAACTTCATAGAACAAAAGAAACAAAACCCACATTCATTAAAACAAACAAACTAGTAATAAAGATAAGGAAACCCCAAACAGGAAGATCTATCTCTGAAAAAAAGTAGTTTCAAAATCTGCGGAGAATCACCATAGCCCTGTGGTAAAACTTATGAATTGTGGTCTGTTCCTTGTACATGAGAGTCCAAATCCTCTTTTATAATTGGCATAGAAAAAATGTATTTGCCAACTAAATGGCTGTATACTGCTTATCTGAGGCCAAATAAACTACACAGCAAAGATGTCAGATCTGGCACAGTAGTTGTGCCTGAAGTTATCATGAAGTGAGTTTGCAATGGTTAACAGTCATCAACTCAGACCATGTGTCCAACATAACATTCTTCTTTTTCAGTGTAAAGGAAATAGCTATTGGTTATTTGGGGGAAACTTCCATGTTTACTTACTACAACATTGCAGTCCTTCCTACTACAGATCCAGCTACCTCGTCTGTTAACTACCTTCATGTTTGAAAATTGGCTTAGATCCACCCTCAGTATCCTGGTTCATGCTTGATTTCTTCTGCTGGTGTACTTTGAATAGTGGTATAGACAAAACTGTGTACCCTCCCAAAATGTGTATGTTGAAGCCCTAGCCCCCAGTGTGACAGTATTCGGTGATAGGGCCTTTAAGAAGGTAATTAAGGTTAAATGAGGTCACAAGGGTGGGGCCCTGATTAAATAGGACTGATGTCTTTATAAGAAGAGGCAGAGACACCAGACAGCTCTTGTTCTCTTTCTGTCTTTGATTGAGTCTAGAACCAAGGCCATGTGAGAACACAGCAAGATGGCCTCATGGTAGCAGGGATGGAGGTTATGCATGGGATCAGCAACATGGACTGCCACTCACCAAGGCTGACCTGGCTATGGCCATGGTTGCGTGCCCAATTTGCCAGCAGCAGAGACCAACACTGAGCCCTCAATATGGCACCATTCCTCGGGGTGATCAGCCAGCTACCTGGTGGCAGGTTGGTTATATGGGACTTCTTCCATCATGGAAAGGGCAGAGGTCTGTCCTCACTGGAACAGACACTTACTCTGGCTGTGGGTTTGCCTAACCTGTATGCAATGCTTCTGCCAAGACTACCATCTGTGGACTCATGGAATGGCTTATCCACCATCATGGTATTCCACACAGCATTGCCCCTGACCAAGGCACTCACTTTACGGCTAAAAAAAGTGCAGCAGTGCACCCATGCTTATGGAATTCACTGGTCTTATCATGTTCCCCATCATCCTGAAGCAGCTGGATTGATAGAACGGTGGAATGGCCTTTTGAAGTCACAATCACAATGTCAACTAGGTGACAAAGCTTTGCCGGGCTGGGGCAAAGTTCTCCAGAAGGCAGTGCATACTATGAATCAGTGTCCAATATATGGTACTCTTTCTCCCATAGCCAGGATTCACGGGTCTAGGAATCAAGGTGCAGAAGGAGAAGTGGCACCTCTCACCATCACCCCTAGTGATCCACTAGCAAAGTTTTTGCTTCCTGTTCCTGCAACATTATGTTCTGCTGGCCTAGAGGTCTTAGTTCCAGAGGGAGGAATGCGGCTACCAAGAAACACAACAATGATTCCATTAAACTGGAAGTTAAGATTGCTACCTGGACACTTTGGGCTCCTCCTACCTTTAAGTCAACAGGCTAAGAAGAGAGTTACAGTATTGTCTGAGGTGATTGACCCAGACTTTCAAGATGAAATCAGTCTACTATGCCATAAAGGATGTAAGGAAGAGTATGCATTAAATACAGGAGATCCACTAGGGCATCTCTTAGTATTACCATGCCCTGTGATTAAGATCAATGAGAAACTACAATAGCCCAATCCAGCTAGTACTATAAACAGTCCAGATCCCTCAGGAACGAAGGTTTGGGTCACTCCACTAGGAAAACAACAAAAAACAAAAAAAAAAACAAAAACACTCGACTTGCTGAGGTGCTTGCTGAAGGCAAAGGGAATAGAGAACGGGTAGTAGAAGAAGGTAGTCATTGAGACCAGCTACAACCACGTGACCTGCTGCAGAAACAAGGACTGTAACTGTCATGAGTAGTTCCTCCTTCTTTTGTTAAAAACATGTTTGTGCATGTATACGCTTGTACTGAGAAAATATCTTCATTTTATTTTGTTTTCCTTTATCATGTGACATAAGATTTATTAACTTCACATCAGCATTTAAGTATTGTTAACTTTATGTAATAGCATTTGGGTTGGTGATTGGTGAATTTCCAGTTGAATGAAGGATAGTTGTATTATGTTAGGCATAATTATGATCTTATTATTGTCTTTATTTGCAGATTATGTGTGATCTTAGGTGATGTGTATGGGTTCAAGCTGACAAGGGGTGCACTTGTGATGGTTAATACTGAGTGTCAACTTGATTGGATTGAAGGATGCAAAGTATTGGTCCTGGGTGTGTCTGTGAGGGTGTTGCCAAAGGAGATTAACATTTGAGTCAGTGGGCTGGGGAAGGCAGATCCACCCGTAGTCTAGTGGGCACAATCTAATCAGCTGCCAGCGAATATAAAGCAGGCAGAAAAATGTGAAGAGGTGAGACGGGCCTCGCCTCCCAGCCTACATCTTTCTCCCATGCTGGATGCTTCCTTCCCTCAAACATCGAGCTCCAAGTTCTTCAGTTTTGAGATTCAGACTGGCTCTCCTTGCTCCTCAAGCTTGCTGACAGCCTATTGTGGGACCTTGTGATCATGTAAGTTAATACTTAATAAACTCCCATATAGATAGATAGATAGATTTCATTGATCTTCAAAAACAAATCAATTACAGTAAATGTGCCTTGATTAGATTTTGATTTGAAAAACATATTTCAAAAAGTAACTTTAATATGGGTATTTGGTGATATAAAGGTGATGCGTCAATGACTACGAAAATAGATTTTAGTTATTTAGAAAACATCCTTTTTGTGTTTTTGATACTGAAATATTTAAAGGTGAAATGACGTGATACCTATTATTTGTTGTAAAAAATACTACCAAAATTTGAAAGATAAAAAAGTAAGACAAAAGTAAGCTCTTGGAAGCTGACTGGTATATTGAAGAGTTTTTCTTTCCCCTCAAATTTTGGATACTTGAAAATTTTTATACTACAAAAACGTGATAAATGAATTAGATAACATAGAGCCAAAATGATTTAAAATATTTTTATAATTGACTAGTGGAGGAAATAAAACTGGGTTATGTCTGCTGAAAAAAGTAGGGAGGGAAGTGAAGAGGGTGTGGCCAGTCAGAATGCCCACTCCTCTGCCCATGACATTTGCTTCAAAGATGGGAAACTAATTTAACCTACATCAACTTAAACATCCCTTTCCAAGGAAAACTGCTCTCTTCCAACCAGGCTGTTAAACTAAGAAGATAGATATCTCTGCCACTATTCATCTTCCCTACAACTCTGAAGAATGAAAAAATACACAAGTCATCAGAACTGAGACTAAAAGATAAAATGAGTCCTGCCATTTTCCCCTGAATCCCTGGATTCTAACACACCTAAAATTACTGTCCCCATATATTTTCTAGTTACATGTAAGTTTTGTTTAAGGTAGTTTAAATTAACTTAGACTACTCCATCACTGGCAACTGTGGAAGACTCAACAATAACTTGACAAAAAAAATTAGCAAAGTGAGTTAAGTGCTCATAAATAGGATGAAATATAACTCATGCAAGGTGATTATTTATATCAATGTAGAGATTGATAACTAGACACATAGAGATAGTAGGTAAGGTTCTAGTTCTAGATTATACCAAATATTGGAGTTGGAATCTCTGTGCTTTTTAGATTATAGATCTAAAATAGTCTTGATTATGGAATATTTTATTTGTGTTGTATTGACTTTTTAAAATTTTCAACATAATTTTTATTTTAGAAAAATAAATTTTTAATATTGAAAAATTTTAAATTACAGGCATACATCGTTTGATTTTACTTTGCTTGATTATACTTTGTACATACTTCATTTCTTACAATTGGTAAGTCTGTGACAACCTTGCATGGAACAAGTCTATTGACATCATTTTTCCAAAGCATGTGCTGACTTTGGGTCTCTGTGTCACATTTTGGTAACTCTTGAATATTTCAAACCTTTCCATTATTATATATGTTATATTTTATATTATTATATCATAATGTTATACATTTTTCATATTATTACATCTGCTATGTTGTTTTAGGGCACCACGAACCATGCCCATAAAAGACGGCAAACTTATAAACATGTGTGTTTTGACTGCTCCACCACCTAGAAATTTTCCCATTTCTCTCCTTGTCTTTGGGCCTCCCTATTTCCTCAGCTACAGTGACATTAAAGTTAAGCCTAATAATAACCTTATAATGGCCTCTAAGCATTCAAGCAAAAGGAAGATTTGCATATCTCTCATTTTAAGTCAAAAGCTAGATGATTAAGCTTAGTGAGAAAGGCATATTCAAAGCTGAGACAAGCTAAAAGCTAGGCCTCTCATGCCAGTTAGCCAAGTTGTGAATGTAAAGGAGAAGTTCTTGAAGGTAATTAAGTGCTACTCCATTGAACACACAAATGATAAGAAAGGAAAATAGCCTTATGGCTGATATGAAGAAAGGTTTAGTGGTCTGAGTAGATGATCAAGCCAGCGGCAACGTTCCTTTCAGTCAAAGTCCGGTCCAGAGCAAAGCCCTAACTCTCTTCCATTCTATGAAGGCTGAGAGAGGTGAGAAAGCTGCAGAAGGGAATTTTGAAGGTAGCAGAGGCTGTTTCATGAGGTTTAAGGAAAGAAGCTGTCTCCATAACAAAAAAGTGCAAGGCAAAGCAGCAAGTGCTGATGGAGAAGCTGCAACAAGCTATCCAGAAGATCAAGCTAAGATCTTTGATGAAGGTGGCTACTCTAAAGAACAGATTTTCAATGTATGTGAAAGGGCCTTCTATTGTAAAAAGATGCCATCTAGGACTTTTATAGCTAGAGAGAAATCAATGCCTGGCTTCAAAGCTTCAAAGGACAGGCTGACTCTCCTGCTAGAGACTAATGCAGCTGGTGACTTTCAGCTGAAGCCCATGCTCATTTATCATCTTGAAATTCCCAGGGTTCTTAAGAATTACACTAAATCTACTCTGCCTATGCTCTGGAACAACAAAGCCTGAATTATGTCATATCTGTTTATAGTGTGGGTTACTGAATATTTAAAGCCCACTGTTGAGGCCTACTACTCAGATAAAATATTCCTTTCAAAACACTATTGCTCATTGACAATGCACCTGGTCACCCAAGAGCTCTGATGGAAATCTGCAAATAAATTACTGTTATTTTCATGCCTGATAACACATTTATCTATAGCCCATGGATCAGGGGTAACTTCAACTTTCAAGTTATATTGTTTAAGAAATACATTATATAAGGCTGTAGCTGCCATAGACAGTGATTCCTCTGATGAATATGTGCAGTGTAAATTGAACACCTTCTGGAAAGAATTCACAATTCTAGATGTCATTAAGAACATTTGTGATTCATGGGAGGAGGTCAAAATATCAATGTAAACAGGAGTTTAGAAGAAGTTGATTCCAACCCTCACAGATGATGTTGAGGGCTTCAGGATGCCACTGGAGAAAGTAACTGCAAATATGGTGGTAATGGCAGAACTAGAAATAGAAGTGGAGCCTGAAGATGTGACTGAATTGCTGCAATGTCATGATAAAACTTGAATAGATTAGGAGTCACTTGTTATGACTGAGGAAAGAAAAAGTCGTTTGCTGAGATGGAATCTACTGCTGGTAAAGATGCTGTAAACACTGATTAAGTGACAACAAACAATTTAGAATATTATACTAAATGTAATTAATAAAGCAGAAGTAGGTTTTGAGAGAATTTACTCCAATTTTGAAAGACATTCTATTGTGGGTAAAGTGCTATCGAACAGCATCTAATGGTACAGAGAAATCTTTTTTCATGAAAGGAGAAGTCAGTCAATGCATCAAACTTCATTGTTATTTTGTTTTAAGAAATTGCCACAGTTACCCTGAACCTCAGCAAATGCCACCCTGATCAGTCAGCAGCCTTCAACACTAAGGCAAGACCCCCCCACAACCAGCAAACAGATTATGACTTGCTGAAAGCTCATATGATAAGTAGTATTTTCTAGCAACTCATTATTTTAAAATTAAGGTGTATATGATGTTTTTTAGGCATGATGCTATTGCACATTTAATAGACTTCAGTAGAGTGTAAACATGATTTTTATATGCACTGGGAAAACAGACACTTGTGTCACTCACTTTATTGAAATATTCATTTTATTGAAGTGGTCTGGAAGCAAACTTGCAATATATTTTGAAGTATGCTTGTATGTAGATTCTTAATATTTTGAAAATATGTTCTTTTGAAAGGTGTACACACATTTATATATTAAAGTGGACATTCTGGAGCGTATTCAAGTCTTTAAATATATTGTACGAGTTAAATAAATTCCACATTTTTTTTTTTTGAGACGGAGTTTTGCTCTCATTGCCCAGGCTGGAGTGCACTGGTGCGATCTCAGTTCACTGCAACCTCCGCCTCCTGGGTTCAAGCGATTCTCCTGCCTCAGCCTCCTGAGTAGCTGGGATTACAGGTGCGCACCACCACACCCAGCTAATTTTTGTATTTTTAGTAGAGCCGGGGTTTCACCATGTTTGTCAACCTGGTCTCGAACACCTGACCTCATGATCCACCTGCCTCGGCCTCCCAAAGTGCTGGGATTACAGGCGTGAGCCACTGCGCCTGGCCCCACTTTCTTTATTGAACCTTTTCTTCTGAACTCCAAACTCATACTGGGCTGTGTGCTCCACATCTTAGCACGGCTGTCTTAGGTACACTTACTATGTTTGAAGCTCCTGATATTCCCTTCTCTCTGAAACTGCTCTTCTTGTCTTTCTGACCTCAGCTTTCCATCCTTTGTTATTCAGAAAAAGCCTTGGTGTCCTCTTTCAGTTCTTTCTTTTCTTCAGTAATCCCATTTCCTTCTTCAGGTAGCCCTTTGATGAGACCTCAAACATGCATCAGAAATCTGGAGACGGCCTCTCATCTCATCTTCTACCACTCACTCCAAGTCAAGCTACTTTAATCTTTTACCTGGATCATTACAAACGTCTCCTTGTTTTAATCCTTTTCCCCACACGGTCTCTTCTCCAAACATTAGCAAGAGAAATCCTTTCAAAATCTAAGTCATATCAATTTGGAATACACCAATGCTGTGCCAGATGAAAAATCGAAGTCATCACAGTGACCTCCAAGGCTCTAGAAGATTTGACTCTTCCACGATCTCTCCCTGTCTTCACTCTTCCAACTAGACTTGCCTCCAATATTCAAATGTCCTCTCTTGCCTCAGGGCCTTTGCACTGACTGTTTCCTTTGCCTGATATTCACGTATCTCTTTTCCCTCCTTCAATCTTCACTCATATGTCACCAATTCAGTGAAGCCCATTACAATCAACCTTTTAAAAATTTTAACCACACCACTAGCATTGCCAATATACTCTACCTGTGTTTTTTTATTAGTATTCATCAACTTAATATGAAACACATAGTTTTTACTTCCATGAGAGCAGAAACGTACCTACATTTTTTTTCCACTGATTTCTCTTAAGTGTGAAAACAGTATCAATAGATAAGCAGTAGACACTTGGTATATCCACAAATATTTATGAAAAGAATGTATGAAGAAAATATCCAGTATTAAAGGCAAGAAGAATATAAACCCTGGTAAGCATTTTGGGAGTTCCTAGGAGAAATGTACTGTATTAACTGAGGATCAAGATAACATTTTATAAAACTTGCTTCATCAATAAAGTGAGTCTAGATAAAGTGTAAGTTATTTTTGTGATTATTGAATGCAAATAATTCCATGCTATTTATGTGAAACATGACACATCATTAATGGGGAGGAAACGAGAGAAAAAGGGAACTGGAAAATATTTTACCCAGAGGACTTTTTATGGAAATCTTCTTCCAAAGAAAAGAGCTGAAATATGTGTCCCTGAAGAGAAGCAAGATTCAAGATTGAAAGTAAGAAGTATGAGTCCAGTTGGAGAGCTGTGCTAACTCTATATTATATTAAGATCTTTCACATAATCAATATTAAAGGAGTTCCAGAGAAATGAATAAAAATCAAACTGTGGGATGAAGGTCTCTTAAATTTAGTCTCTTGAGTGTATAATAGAGACCTCATGGTAAATAGAAGTTTTAATTTTAAAAGGCCGTTAGTAGCTACTTAATAGAAGAGGAGAAGTAACAATAGCAGTCTCTTGGTGCTCAACTCTCTCCTGCCATATTACCCACAAATGTGCTATACAAATAAGGAGCACTGCCTCGAAATAATGTTTGAAAATAGTTACAAAAATAGTTGTTGACCTTTGCTGCTTTCAAGGTGGTCTATTTTGCAGCCCAATTATAATAGTAAAAAAAAAAAATGAAAGAATTGGCACAGGGCTTTTATATTAGTTGCAGATTTTTTCATGCTGGAAATAAATAAAGGGCTGGCATATTTATTGAGTGTGTTGACTAGAACTCACAAACCAGATTAATGATCTGTATTTTAAATGAACATGTGCCCCAAGTTCTGTTGTGTCCTGTGTCTGTGTTTGGTCACTATTAATGCAATATGGATGATTAAACTCACTTGTTGAATAGAAAGTTATATATGAAATCAGTGAGATGAGCTTTTGCATTTACTGACAGTATCAAGTAAATCTGTAAAGCTGAAAATTTTGAGAAATTTTGAATATGACCAAAGATAATTGTAGAAAAATTGTCAACCCCATACATGATTCTAGCACTAAGCTTAGCAAACATAAATTTTAAACTTTCTTCCAAACTGGAAAATATATGGTTAAGAGGTTTTTACATTCATCAACATATTTTTATACCAAATAATCATTGTATTTTGTATCTTATGGGCAGATGGGTTATCACAATTAAAGCTGAAATAACAAACTACAAGGTTGGCATGAAATTTTTAAAATTTACTAACAAATAATGAGCATTTTTAATATGGTATAAACATTTTTAGTTATTTTGACTTGAAAATTGGTTCCATGCATGAATTCATGCTTGTGAGTATGTTCCTACAAATATGTATACGGGAGAGAGAATCAATTAATATGCAGAGGGAGGCATAAAGTTCCAGGAATTATCTATATTGTGCAGTCATCTATTTTGAAGCAAGTAATTATCAAACACTTTTCATGAGTAATTGTGAGCAATATAATATTGGATATTCAAAGCAAACAAACAAAAACACCTAGCTTTGAGGTCCTGGTTGAGTACTGTTGTCTTTCAAGTGAAGGAACAAGACAATTTCATTTTAAAGACCAAGTAAAAGGTAAATATATGTGATGAGTGCTATGAGTATAGAAGCAACTTTTGAATAGCTAAGAAAGAAAAGGAATTTATTTCATGCCCTCATATCTAGTGATGCAGAATCTTCCCTAAAGGCATTTTGTCTTAATCACATGCAAAAATCATCTTAGACATCCACATTTGCACTTATCATTAGCATATATAAAGAACCACGCAAACATGCCAACTAAAAGCATTTACATTATTTGCAGACTACATTTATACTGCATAAAGTGCCAGTTATTTTACAATATTAACTCCTATGAAACCTGGGATAATTTCTGTGACTTAACTTTTCTTTACGTGTGTCTTACAAAATGTTCATACATATTTGCAGGGAATATGAATGTGTAACACACACATTAGGTGTATGTAATATTTCAGTGTTATTTTGAACTTTACATAAGAATATCTATGTTTAAGTATATAGAAAGTTGATGTAATTTGTGGCTACTGAAGGGAACACCAAAATTATAAAAAGTCTTTTTTTTTAGCAATTTAATAGAATTTTGTTGTTATATTGTTACAATGGAAGCAAAAGCTTTTCCATCTTGAAAACTTAGTAGCTATGTGACCAATGTGACTTACGTTAACTTTTCTTTGAATTTTAGTTTCCTTTTGAAATTTGAGGATACCTACTCATAGATATGAAAAAGAAGATTAAATGGGAAAGTGTTTATAGCGCACTACATCACAGGGTCTTACACAAATTACCTTCTCTATAAATGGTAATTATTATTTTTTCCAATTAATTTTCTAATGGTTTCATTATAACTTGAGAAATTAACTTTGAAGTCTTTTAAAAGCTGGCAATTATTATTTTTCAAGTGGTCTTTATTGAATTTACACTAAGCTAACTGTTGGGTGAACTTAGGAGAGGGGATAAGGTGAAGAGGAGATGAGGTACTAAGCTTTTATTTTTGAAAATTCACTTTTAGTGGGAGGAAATACTATTGTATTCATCCATATTTATGAAAAATAAATTGAACATTTAATACTGCATTAAAGCAATTGTAAATCAGTAAAATAATTATGAAGGTCTTTGCTTTTATAGACAAATATTCTCAGAGGAGAAAAAAGAGTAAGTTCAATTGGCACAAGATGAGTTTTCTAAGGAGCTTTCAAACTCTGCTCTCCAAAGTCCTTCTATGTAGTAAGGTCACAACCAAAATAGTTTTAATTTTACATATTCTATAGTTAGCACATTAAGCATGTTAGAGATAGATCTTTATACACTGCATGTAGAGTGTAAGCACGTTCTGGATTTTGTACATAATTGGTATGCCAGGGATTCATTTATGGAACTCATTGAAAATGTTTTAATGTATGAAGTATTTAAAAGATGTGAAGAGTATTTTTAATGTTTGAATTTATTGCATATTTGGTCAAAGTTATGTTTATATTTAGAATTGGAGAGAACATGAGTGACGGAAAATTTGAAAAATGCACAATTAACGTGTAATTTTAAAACATGTTTTAATCCTGAAATCAAATTTAATTTTTAAAAATAATTACCTAGTTGGAAGGCCAGAGGTAAAAATATGTTTGATGTTCGAGAAATTTTATGTCTCAATCTGATCATAAAATGCAGTGAATCCATCTTCTCCTTCTGACCAACTGAAGTAACAGGGACTATATAAAATATCTGATATATAACTTTTCAAACACTGGAAAATAGGCAATGAAGCATTATGATCTCTGAGAGAAGGGAAACAAAATGAGTCCAACCACTGTAGGAGCTTACAGCTAGGAGGTGCTTACAAGTTTTAGTACAGGAAGGAAAAATGTAAAGAGAGCCCAGAGATCTCACTGAATCGAGGAGGCAGAGACCAGCATATGAGGAAAAGAAGGTAGCTGAAATTCTGGACAGAGAAAAAAACAGGAGGGAGCTGAGAAGGAGAGAGAGAGAGTGAGAGAGAGAGAGATCCAGAAATCTGCAAAGGGGTTCCCTTAAGAATATTGGGCTGCATATTAATTTGCATATGTATAAGGAGAAATTACATGAGGCTGGGCAGGCAGCACCAAAAGTAGATACTCCTTTATGTAGATCTTTTCCATCTGACATCTGCCTGAAGAATTTTCCTTTAACATCTCCTGAAGTCAAAATCTGCTGCCAATGAATTCTTTCAGTTTGCAAATATTTTCTCCCAGGGGATGGATTGTCTTTTCATTTTCTTAGCAGTAAATTGTGAGGATGATACATGTTTAATTTGGAATAAGTTTAATTTAACACATTTTTACATTTTTGTCTTTTTGTTGTTGTTGTCTGTGTTATTGTTGTTGTTTTTTGAGACAAGAGTTTCACTCTGTCACCCAGGCTGTTGTGCAGTGGCGTGATTTCAGCTCACTACAACTTCCACCTCCCGGGTTCAAATGATTCTCCCGCCTCAGCCTCCAGGGTAGCTGGGATGACAGGCACGTGCCACCACACTTGGCATTTTTGCATTTTTGGTAGAGACGAGGTTTCGCCATGTTGGCCAGGCTGGTCTCAAACTCCTGACTTCAGGTGATCCGCCTGCCTCGGCCTCCCAAAGTGCTGCGATTACAGTCATGAGCCACTGTGACAGGCCTTGTTTTTAACAAATAAATCTTTGTTTTAAGAAATCTTTGGGCTGCACAAAACTATGAACATTTCTCCTGATTTCTTCTAATAGTTTTACAGTTTTAGGTCTGATTCAATTCAAGCATATTTTAGGGTATAGAGTGAGAAAAATGTATATTTTTAGCATACAGTTATCTAATTGTTCCAGCATCATTTGCTGAAAAGCTCATTCTTTTTCCCACAAATTATCTTGTTCCTTTGTTAAACTTATCATATATGTATGGGTCTGTTTCTGTTTTCTATATTCTGTTCTTTAAACATTTATCAGTTCTTATGTCTGTTCTTAACAATATTGATCTATCTTTATTGCTATAGTTTTGTTGCCTTAAAATTGGTCACCATTTCCCCCTTATCGTTATTTTTTAATATCTGCACTATCTGCAGTGACGTCTTAACTTTTGTTTCCAATATTGGCAATTTCTATTTTTTTCTTTTTGTTCTTGCAGTCTGCTTAGCTATTCATTGATTTATTGATATAAGTTTAAAACCAGCTATTGATTTTTTGTTATTGTTTTTATTTTATTCACTTATTTATTGATCTTTATTGTTACCTTTCTGCAATTTATTTTAGATTTAACTTGCTTAAACATAACTTTTCTCATTTTAAATTAGAACATTGATGTAATAGAATTTTCATACTTCCTAGTAACATTCTTTAATGCAGAAAAATTCCCAGAACCCACAAAGAAATAGGTTTAGTTTGTGTTCTGACCAACCACAGTGGAAAGTTCGTAACACCTGGAGCATCATTTAGAATTCTCACCCTCGTACTGAGGCTCATTTAGCCCTGGACTAAAGCATACTCGGGCTTCACTCTAAGAAAGCCTGAAAGCGAGCTAGAAAGGACCCCACTGATTCTGAGTAAACTGCAAGCCCGTATAAAAGTTAAACGCTAGGTAAAGAACCACAGTGCAATCCAGAACATAAAGCTTACAGTATTCCGGCCTTATTTTAAAAAGTACCAAGGTTAAAAAGAAGTAGGAAAATTCGACCCACAACCAAAAGAAAAATTATTAATATAAACAAATTCACAAAGGAAGATTATGGAACTCAAAGAGAAATATGTTAAAACAGCTATTATGAATACGTTTTGCATGCTCAAGACGGTAGATGAAAACATGACTATAATGAGAAGAAAAACTGGGTCTATTGCAAAACCAACAGAACTCATAGAGATAAAAGATACACTGTTCAAAATGCAAAGGCAATGAATGAGATTAACAACACATTAAACAATGCAACAATGCAGGAGAAAAATTAATGTACTTCATGACAGCTTCACACAATTTTTAATACATTGCATTTTTGTTCCATTAACAATATTTTCTAATTTCTTTTATGACATCTTCTTTGACCCAGGGGTTATTTAATTTCCAAATGTTAGGACATTTTCTATCTGTTTTTCAATTACTAATATCTACTCTTATTTCCTTGTGGTCAAAAGATATACTTTGTCTTAAACGCTTTTTAATTTACTAAGACTTGCTCGATGGTCTAGAATACAGTTTAGATTAATGCATATTTCATGTGTAGTGGTAAAAATGTATACTCTGCTGTTTTAGGTAGAATGATTTGTAAATATCAATTAGGTCAAGTTGATTGAATATGTTACAGTTTATACAACTGCAATCTTTCTATCTCCTTATTCTATAAATTACTATAGAAGAGTGTTTAATTCTCCAACTACAATTGTGCATCTGTTTATTTTTCCTTTCTGGTGTGAGTTTTTGCTTCATTTATTTTGAAGCTCTCTTAATAGTTTAATAAATAATTAGGAATGTTCTTTTGATAAATTGATCAATTTGTCTAAATGTTCCATTGTATTCATAGTTATAGTCCTTGTTCATGCATATTACTTCTATCTCCTAAAGCCCCACACAATTTTATTAATTTTGCCTTAAAGATCTAATTATTTATTAAAGAGCTTCAAAAAATAAGAAAAATACATTTTACATTTTATAGTACATAAAACGTGTAAAATACATAAAATTTATGGTAAATAAATGTGTATAAAATACACATTTATAGAAGGTTGAGAGGACAGATAAATATCTGAGGAAATAAGAGCCAAACATTTTTCAAATATAATGAAAATTATAAACCTACAGACTTACCAGGCTCAATAAATCTTGAGCATAAGAAACTCCCCTAAATCATGACATGTCATAATCAAATACGAAAATACCAATGATAAAGAAAAAATCTTAAAAGCAGCCAAAAGAAATACACATATTGAGAGGAACTAAAATAAGAATGACAGCAGATTTCATGTCAAAATTTATTCAAAATAGGATATAATGAAATGGCTCCTTGAGTTATGAAAAATTGTCACTCTAGGTTTTCTTTAGTAAGAATATCTTTCAAAAATGAAAGACAAAAATGTTACCATACACATTAATAAGATAGGCTTCACAGATCTGCTATCACTTTTTTAAAATAAAAATATTATCAAATAAAAATAAAATATTATCAAATAGATATTTATAAATCTATCTATCAATAGATATACAGATAGATAGATAGATATAGATATGTGCCAAGACCAGCTTGGTCGGGGAGACCCTAACCCAGTGGCACTAGAGGAATTAAAGACACACACACAGAAATATAGAGGTGTGAAGTGGGAAATCAGGGGTCTCACAGCCTTCAGAGCTGAGAGCCTCAAACAGAGATTTACCCACATATTTATTAACAGCAAGCCAGTCATTAGCATTGTTTCTATAGATATTAGATTAACTAAAAGTATCCCTTATGGGAAACGAAGGGACGGGCCGAAATAAAGGGATGGGTTGGGCTAGTTATCTGCAGCAGGAGCATGTCCTTAAGGCACAGATCACTCATGCTATTGTTTGTGGTTTAAGAAAGCCTTTAAGTGGTTTTCCACCCTGGGTGGGCCAGGTGTTCCTTGCCCTCATTCCAGTAAACCCACAACCTTCCAGTGTGGGCGTTATGGCCGTCATGAACCTGTCACAGAGCTGCAGAGATTTTGTTTATGGCCAGTTTTGGGGCCAGTTTTTGGACAAATTTTGGGGGGCCTGTTCCCAACAGATATGAATCAGTTTTTTCCTGCAGCTGTTTAGTAAACAATTGTTCCATAGCATTAGCAATATACTTAATCCCTATTGGCAAGTACTAAGACAAGATTGAGGTCATAAAATATATACAAATATCTCACCTCTTCTGCAATTCCATCTTTGATTCTTTATATTGTTATTTAAATCCTTGTGCCTAGTTTCCTTAATTTCCTTTTTAGCAAAGGCATCACTACAATCACCTGCAGTTGCTGACTTCACCTTGATTTCCCTCTAAAGACTGTAAGCTTTGTGCCCCACTGTTTATCCACCTCCTTCACTGTGTTCTTCTGTCTGTGCCTCTTCAAAAGTTCAGGGATCTGGAGGACTACAATGATGGAGAAGACACTCTCTTTCTGCCTTCCAGCTACCTAGAACCCGATATTCCCTGTCAGAACTGCACTGAACCTGTTTCCACAACCTGAACAGATCTCTTCCCTAGGTTTGTCTGCTTGGGGTCAGAATACCTCAGTGTACACACTCCGAGGACCAAGAGATATTTAGAGTAAGGGTCTTTGTAGGAATGTGGAAATGACTCCATGAGTTGCAGGATGGAATGGTGGCTAGGATTCAGGTGGTCTGCATTGGCCATTAAATTCTGATAAGAAAGTCTGGGTATTATGTGGAATCCTGGCTTCCTGAATTCTTTGGAGGGAATATTTTTCAAGATAAGGGGATAATCCTTATTTCCATTAGTCTGATGTATAACTTTAAATACTTACACATACAGTTTGTGGGCCTCCATTTGTACGCTTGTTTTGAATGCCTCAAATGCTAGGGATAGGCCTGATGGAGAATGTGTCACATTCAGTCATCAGTAATGTTTAGCTTGGTGTTTATTGCACTATTAATGTTAAATATTTGCTGAATAAATGAAACAACTAATAAATAATATAGCTTTAAGACTGTCTCCCTGAAAGAGTTTGCAACCTAAGGAGAATGATAACATGTGGGTTGTGGAATTCAATTACAATGCATACTATAATACATGCTGTATGAAAGATGTTAAGTCCTTTCTGAAATTGAGGTCATTTAGCCAGTATTATCAGGATTCCCTTTTAATTATTTTTTAAAATATATTACTGAATATTTTATCTTTAAGTAGTGAAATCTTAAAAGTATTTTACATGGAAATTTAATTTAAATTCTAGGGAATTAGGTTTTACTGCCTTCTTAAATGCAGACTAACACTGTACACATATATTGTAACCTTTTCTTCAGAAATAGATTCCTCTTTAGTAACAGTCTTCATTGCTTTGTGAGTTGTATTTGGGTAATCTGAGCAGTTTTTGAGTTCTCCATAATTTACTTTGCTGACATAAATAATATCTTTTCTTGGATGCTGCTTCTAATTTTCTGTGACTGAGGAAGGCCAATAATAATTCTTCAACGATTAAAACAGAAAGGAGACAGTGGAGGAAACTTAGTCTAATCTCCCCAGCTTTTTAAAAAGCATCTGGGGACTAGCAGTGCTTGTGAATACCTACAGGTGTGTTTGTTTCCTGTTAGGATTCAGGCTCTCACCACAGATAGGGTTGGCAGAAAACTAAACCCTAGATGAATAGGATTTTGGCATATAACAGTGAAATTAATTTCAGGTAGGAAATGGATCTAAGTACTCTGCATTCTCACCCAAGAGCATCTAATATTTTAAATCAAAACCAAATCCAAAGTAAAAACAAAAACACAAAAAGCTAAGAATAATTCAGAGGTGTGTGTTTTAGAACATATCACATTCATGGAAACATTGAGTCACGGTAAGGCCAACAGATAAGAAGACGATTGCCATCAGAAGGTTTATTACTCACAGTTCCTAAGAGGAGAGAACATGCCACACCATGGGGGGCCACCTGGGGGAGCACCAGGGTGGGTCAGGAGGCAGAGGGAGCGGGGATGCTGCAGACAAGAACCTTTATTGTGTTTTCAGTGGGAAGAATCAGGTGAGGCAAGGTGAGCAGGTTCAGATTTGCTGGTTTGTTCTCCCAGGGTATAGGAGCAGTCCCTGGTTGTCTAGTGTCTGACCTGGAGGGAATAGAGCAAGGGATGGTGGTCTAGAGTGCAAGAGTCTAACAAAGGCAGTGGTTGGGGTATGGGCTCTGGTTGCTTGATATGTAAAGCACACCTGGGAGAAGGAGGCCACTTGTCCAGGGAGGGAGTTGCAGGGGGAGTGACAGGGGAGCAGTAGGACGAGGCAAAGTGGTATGGTTTGGTTCTGTGTTCCCACCTATGTCTCACCTTGAATTGTAATAATCCCCATGTGTCAAGGGCAGGGCCAGGTGGAGATAATTGAATCATGGTGGTGGTTTCCCCCATACTGTTCTTGTGGTAATGATTAAGTCTCATGAGATCTGATGGTTTTATAAGTAAGAGTCCCTCTGCACAAGCATTCTCTTGCCTGCCACCATGTAAAACGTGCCTTTGCTCCTCATTTGCTTTCTGCCATGATTGTGAGGCCTCCCCAGCCATGTGGAATGTCAGTGCGCTAAACTTCTTTCCTTTATAAATTACCCAGTCTTAGGTATATCTTTAATAACAGCATAAGAACACACTAATACACAAAGTGACACAGGTATACATTGTGGCATTGTCTGGAGCAAAATGTGTCCAGCACATGTAGGGCACATGTTGAAGCATCAAGTTTCCGGGAGCTAGAAACATGGTTAATACCGCATAGAAGAACATCTTGGGCTTGTGATGAGATTTGAAATGTGAAGGATGTGGAGGAAATGTTTTCATTGATCTATCTGGGATGACACCAAGAGCTTTTCCCACAGAGTTTACAACTAATTCAGAATCTGTCAGTTTAAGAGCAGAGTATTGAAATTTTTCTTTCTAAGATGTATTGTAGCTCATACACATCCAGGGTGAGTTGTCTTTTCTTAAATTTTTATCTTTCTTGCAAGTATGTTTTGTAGTTCTCACTATTTATCCCTACAATAACCAAATTAAAGACATTTTGATGTTACCTTCAAAATGTCTTTCTTTTGTTCTTAATCCTTGATAGATTTATTTAATAGACTCAAATAGCTAATTATTCATAATTCTATTTTATTTTTACCCTATACTTCCTTGTGCTTTGGTCAAGTGCAAATATAATATTCAATTTCCATTAGTATTTCGTTTTCAGATTGTCTTAGGGAATTTTGTAAGAAAAGATAGAAATCCCTAATTATTGAGACATCAGACATGCAACAATTTTAATGTATTATTTCATATTTGGACAAAAGGACTGTCTTTTATCTATGAAGGTATTAGATAATTTTGTAGTGTTCTCAAAATTTGAAAAATGATTATTTTAAAATTGTACTGTATTATTCTTTTATTTGTAAAAAGACAGAATTAAGATAAATTATACATTTTTGTGAGCAAGAAACCCTTATATGCAACAAAGAGGTGAATAGGTATATTCCTAAAATATACTTAGTAAAACCATGCTTATGATATCTGGAATATAGAAAACTTGAAAAGTCCACCTAATTATCTCAATAAAACATGTAAAATATTTAAATACCTAAATAAATGTTTTCCACAATTATGAGAGACTAATTTCAATTCATAATTTTATTATTAAATGTCTTTACAGAGTGTGCTAGACATCGGTGAATTTCAAAGAACAAAAATAACAAAAATCCAACAATATAATCAGGAACATTTCATAGATTTTACCCAATAAAATGTTTAAAAGTTAAAATGTTTTTATAACATTTTAATGTTTGAGATAGAGTTTCTATGTGGACAGAAATGAGCATCCTGAAAGAAAACAGAAATGTAGTACAGTTGTTTTTAAAAATGGCATCATTAGAGGGCACTATTGAATGCCTTGTAGGAATTGCAAACTTGAACATATAGCCAAGACCAAAAATTTTATGGCATAAAACTGTATCTTTAGCTATTCTTGATGACATAATATAAATAGATTTAGAAATTATAAACTTTTGTCATCAAACTAGAAAAGGAAAGAAGGAAGAGAGGGAAGGAGGGAAGGAGGAAAGTGTATGGGATGAATCACATTAACGTTAAAGTTGAGAAGCAGGAAAGGGAACAATAGAGGCCTTAATTTGAAAGCATAAAATTTAGGATTATCAAAATGCTGAAGGAACTGAACTAAAGCTAGAAGGAGAAAAAGCCAAAGGCACTTTATCTTTAATTTTAGATTATCAGTATTGTTTAAGTTAGATTTGGAATGTTTAAACCTTGATGAAACAACATCAAACGATCACATGAATGCCCAGATGCAGCATAGTCTTGTAAAGAAAACACCATAATATTCTTTAAAAAGTTTTGATTTACTTATTCAGTCAGGCAGCATTTATGTATTTACTTAGAACTACGCTGGGTACTGAGAAATTGTAAATTAAAGAGCTCTTGGTTCCAGTGTTTAAGACATATAGAGCCTTTTTGTTTGTTTGCTTGCTTTAGAGTATTAACTAAAACAACTATATAAAAGTATTATGATAGCCATTATAATTTTCTCTAGTGACTAAATACTTTGATAAAGAGTATAATCTTTAAAACTCTATAAGGTGATATTGTTAAGTAGAACTAGAAACTAGAAAGCTCCTGCAGGTATTTAGACAAATCACTACTTTATTTCTTCATACGAAAATCACGTAACTATAATCATTCATGGACATATTGAAAAAAATCTATAAAACAATGGAGATCATTAAGTACAGTTTTAGATAAAGCAAAAATGTGAATATTTCAGTATTTCTGTCACAGAGACATTCTGTACATGATACACCTTAAAAAATAACTTATGGACAAGTATTTCACTTCCTGATCTATCATGTATTTCTTGTGTAGGAATGGGCATAATTCTCAATATCCAAGTATTTTACATGCATATGCATTCTGATGTGCACTTTCCATGGATTGACGGTTTTTGTGTTTTGTTTTGCTTCCCCTACCCACCATCCTTTTGAGTTCTTCTGTTTTCATAAGTGTTAACTTTCTACTCCTCATTCTTTTATTTGCTTGGTTAGGTAAATTATTAAACTTTTGCCAGTGCCTAGTGAGGAGAATCTGTTGAACATATTTAGCTTAATTTTATCTATGGCAATAGCATAGATTTCATTTTTGCAGCTTAATAAATAATGTGAATTATAGGAATCTTCCTTTACACATACTGGATGCAACTACTGCTCTATAGGCACTTTTATGGGATCATTTGATTATGTCTCCTCAACAGGTCATGTTGCTATTCCAAAATTAAGTGGGGAGACTATGGGAGAGATTATGACGGAAGGTTCTTTTTTTCTTATGTTCAGAAAAATTGATTTTCCTTCTCTCTAACTGTATTTTTGTACCCATTAGTGATCCCCTCTTTATCACCCCCTTACCATCACCCTTCCCAGCCTCTGGCAACCATCATCCTACTCTCTATCTCCATCAGTTCAATTTTAATGATCTCATATTTGGTAGCACAATAGGGTGAATATACTTAACAATAATGTGTTGAAGATTTTAAAATAACTAAAAGAGTGAAATTTGAATGTTCAAAACACAAAGAAATGATAAGTGCTTGAGGTGAATATCTCAGCTACCCTGATTTGATCACTATACATGGTATGCTTGTATCAAAATATCACATATGCCCCATAAATATGCTAACTATTATGTATCCATAATAATAAAAAAAAAGAAATAAAACTTGATTTTCCAGTCAGATTGTTAGAAAGAACATAAATAGCCACAAAGTCTTTGTGGAAATAATGACAGCATATACCTGTACTGAAAATGTGTATTTTAAGAAAATACGCACATATTGGACTCAGGATAGACCTGCAGTGTAGTTTGGTGTATTAGTCTGTTCTCATGCTGCTAATAAAGCCATACCTGAGGCTGGGTAATTTATAAAGGAAAGAGGTTTAATGAACTCACAGTTCCATGTGGTTGAGGAGGCCTCACAATCATGGCAGAGGGCGAAGGAGGAGAAAAGTCACGTCTTACATGGTGGCAGGCATTAGATCGTGTGCAGGGGAACTGCCCTTTATAAAACCATCAGATCTTGTGTGATTTATTCACTATCATGAGAACAGTGTGGGGGAAACCATCCCCTTGATTCAATTATCTCCACCTGGCCCCACACTTGACATGTGGGGATTATTACAATTCAGGGTGAGATTTGGGTGGGGACACAGCTCTACCCTGAATTAACTGCATGGTCTAGAAACATTTGCTTGTGGTGCCCGAGACTGTTACATTATGGCATGATAGGATATGATCTCTGAGGCCCCTTGTAAACATTTTCTCTGCTTCCAAACACTTTTTGCACAATGGAAGATACAGTAGCCAAGATGTAAGAGCCCAGAAGGTCCATGTCTTAAATCAAGTAGCCACCATCAATTTAATTAACATTTATAAAGTGTTAATCATATGTCAGGAGTACTAACCTTTTACACTCACTGAGAGAATTGGGTAGAAAACTATTTCTGTGTGTGTGCGTGTGTGTGTGTGTATCTGAAAGTGTATAAATATAATTTTTAACTGATTTTCTTTTTGGATAGTAGGATTAAGGGTTATTTTTACTTTATTTGTACATTTTCTATATATTTTAGCTTCTCTACATTAAGCATATTTATCTTTATAATAAGAAAAACAACTTTTTAATATTTAAAAATAGACCATCAACGTAATTTCTTTCAGTAACATTAAGGTCATTAAAATAAAGTAAGTAAAGGACACACTGTCCAAAACAGAAATTTTGGTTTTGATTTAAAATTTTGGTTTCTATTAAGCCCTGAGATTTTAGGTCCAACTAATTTACGTGATTGGTATAACTGCTTTGGTAATGAGGGTTCTGGATTTTTAAGTTAAAGATGGTTCAAAGGTTAATTACTTCTTTATGTGTGTTGTCAATGGATAATTACTTTTCTTCTAAAGAAAGTCCTTAAGGCCAAAAGTCAGCCTTTATTTCTGCAGTGAATATGATTTTTTGTTATATAAGATCTGTAGAAAATAAGGTTAGTAAAGACTTATTTAATGAAGGTGTTTTTAAGCAAATGGATTACAGTTTCATTCACAGACAAGGCTACCTTGTTAGCATTTGATTAAATGCTTCAATAATCTTTCCATGGTAATGTTTTTCAAAGGAGGTAACTACTAATAGCAGCTGCACATTTATTGTTAATGTGTTGTTAAATTGATATAGAAAAGCAATATTGATGTAATAACTCTTATTCGTGCATTCTCTCTCAACAGTACATTTATAATAAATTAAGCTAGTTGACATTCAAAAAGCAAATAATCTAATATTAATTGTGAATTCTTTAATATGCCAAAACCAATTTTTGTTTAATTTTAAATAACATTTTCAATGTTTAATTCAAAATTACTTAAATTTTACCTTCCCACAAAAATGTTTATATTTATTCTCCTTATAAAAAATGTTAAATTCTCTAGTCTAGCTTTTTAAATGAGTACAATTAAAGCCTTCATCAGAAGAAATGAAATTTGCATAAACATACATGCCTTAATAGCCTTTAGTACTGAAACAGAAATTACTCTTTGTCTTGATGTACTGATAACTTGTAGCACAATTATTACATTGCTCTAATGTCCTTATAACTAGATGTTTGTTATTCATCTTTTGTTCAAGTTCATTTTGTTTGTGAACAATGCATTTTAGCACTATCCAATAATTTATTTCAAATTTGTGTTAATTATAGGAATTTAATTCTTACATACTTACTAATCTCCACAAAGTGGAACAGTAAATTTATTCAAATTAATGTGACTTAAAGTAAGCCTACTTAAATCTGCTAGAAACAAGTGTATAGATTTTTTTCAGTGTACATGCAATATTAACTTATTGATTTTATATAATCCTTATTGGATTCTATGTCCCTGGAATTGTGGTGAAGAAGAATAAGACATACTGAAAAGTACAGTGCTTGGTTATTTAAACAGAGAATCAATCTCTCTTTCTCTTTACATAGCCACAATTATAAAGAATTGCTTATTCTTGCTTATGAAAAAGCAATGAAGCTCACCATCCCTCTGACAAAATTGTCTCTGAAAATTAGTACCACGTATCCTTTAGTCATAGGAATAAGAGACACTGGACTATGAATTTTGTTTAAAAACAACCAATCTTCTATGCACCTCTTACTTAGTTTTACATAAATAACTCACTCAACCATTGAACTTGGTGGACTGTTACTAAGCAGAAAGTGTCAAGAACATATTGGAAATACACAGACAAGCAAATAGTGTCAGTCTTACACTTTATTTTTAAAATCTCCCACTTATCTCTAGACAATTGACAGAACAATTAAAACTTGTTATAAGGCCTCAAGATGTACGTATGCTTGTTCTTCTGATAGGATAAGAGTATCTGTGAGGTTACATTTTTCTCTGCAATAGGTCAAAACAATAACAATGACATAACACAGACAAAAATGTAAAGATACATTTACAGAAAAGGACACGTGTTTGCTTTGTTAAGAATTCAGGAATATGCTAAATTCTCATCAAAAGAAGCACTGATCTACATGAAGACAGTGTTTTTAGTGTGCGTCTTTGTATGAGAAAATGTGCAAGATATGGTAGGTGGAAGGATGTTCTACAAAACAACGTAGAATAAATCCACTCTGATTTTACAACAAACTTGTTACTTCTGCAGCTATTGACACTATCCCTTCTAAATGGTAGTGCAAATATAAAAATGAAAATTAGAAAAATCAAATAAGGGTCAAATTGTTTAATTATTTATCAGTGGGGCATGGAATTTCCTGACGGAACTTCCAGATTTTTGCAAATATTAAGAATTTCATTACACAAGTAAGATTTTTTGGGTTATAACCGCTGTAAAATATGTAGATGAAACTACCATATAAGCAGACATTTATGCTGTTTTCATTTTATCTACTATTATATATAATGCTACGATAAATATCTTTCTTTGTGCCTCCTTGCACACATGTATGAGTGTTTTTCTAGAATATATATCCTAAATTCCATCTTTAGGTCACAATATATATGTATTTGAAATTTTACATTATTCTGTCAAATTACCAATCAAAATAACCACAATTATTTCTTTTTACAGGCTGTCTATGAAAATTCTCATGTCCCTACTATCGTTACCAATACAAACTATTATTAGTAAGCTTTAAAATTTTGCTAATTTGATATGTGAAAAAAATGGTATATGATTTTGCTTTTCTCTTTTGATAATTCATAATTGTGACCTACTTTGAAAATGATGAGTATGTATTATTTTGGAATCATCAAAAATTATAATAATTAAATGACTGCCATTGACTGTGACAAATTAGGCAAATTTTATTTTTTTAATTCTAATAATGGTTTTACTATTTTAGATAACTTAATGGTTTAGTCTTTTATCTCATGAAATCAGATTCTTGACTATCTACAATGGTCTTTAAACGCATCCTGATTGAGCAAAATTAGATGTCTGACATTGACTTCTGGGTTTGGAGAATTGTTTCAGGATGCCTCAAAGCTCTTTAATATTTTAGAATTTCTCTATAAATTTATCAAAGGCCAGAGTTTAAAATAAACTAATAAACTAACTCATCTGTTTCCCCCAACAAAAAGGCAAACCGTAAATCTGAGATCTGTATATCAGAGTGCTTCAGTTGGCTTCAGAGTAGGTGTTCAGAGAAAATTTAGCATCACAACTTAGTCCAGATTCCATAGATTCAACCAGAGAAGTCGAATTGGTAGGATATATACATATCCTGATCAATATACACACACGCTCATGCACATATATATGTGTTTGTGCACATACACATATTAAGAGATTTATTACAAGAAACTGTCTTACACAGTTATTAGGAGCTGGATAAGCAAGACCAACTCCATAGAGATGGCCAGGAAGGAATGATCACTAGCAGCAGGAACTCCAGGGACATGAGTCAAAGAAAGCTGTTGTTCATAGACAAAATTTTTTCTTTCTCTTGAGTATTCCTAGCCTTGCTTTCAAGGCCTTCCAACTGATTAATTTAGGCCCAGTTTGACTTGTCAGCATATTCTTCTTTATACAAAACCAGCCAATTAGAAACTTTAATTACATTTGCAAATTCCCTTTTATTTCAGCACCTAAAGTTGGTTTGATTGTGGATCGTAGCCCAGCCAATTTGACACACCATGCCATGACCCCTTTCCTTTTGAACCTACAATTAACTTACAAATATGATTCTTTCTGGCTCAAACTGACCTATCCTTTAGGAACTATTGATTCTAAAATTCTATGGGTCAGTGGGACAGATAGTGGAGGGGAGGCCTTCATTCACCTTTCATTTAAACTGTGTTTCAAGGTCCTCATTAACATATTGAAAGTGAGTAATTATCCAGTTGATATTCTGCATGGAGAGTAAGAAGGCTCTAAGCACAATTATTTCAAAATTGAATATTATTAACTATTAACAGAGGTTGTTAATAAGCATATGAATTTGCAGGAAATTTTCCTTTCCGTACCAATGATAAGAATTCAATTTCTCAAGTAATATCTGAATGCTTTATGCTTTTTAATTGACAGATGGGAGAAATTTGGTGTATAAATCTGATGCGATTATGAAAGCTCATATTTGATATGGCATCAGATACATTTATTTTCCATATAAATGAGAAATTGCTATTTATATTTAGCAGTGGTTATGCTGGTTTTCCATCTTTGATCAGGAAGAAAGGGACCTATCATGGTCTAAGTTTTGTGACCTCATCAGGCAACTCTGGATGTTTAAAAACAACCTGATCCCTGAAGTCAGAGTGTGAGAGTTAGAGATGGGGGAAACATCTCATGGTGGATCTGACCATTTTGAATAATGTAATTTAGGTTTGGGGATTTTGCTCTTCCCCCCCAATTCCACACTCTTCTCAATTAGTGACTTTATAATTTGAAATCATTTTGAATTCACTGAGTACATCCATTCCCCACCACCTGCATTCTAGATAAATAGCCTCTGTGAAGATGATGATATGGTGTTATTGTAATAAATTTGAAATAGGCCTTGATGCAGAATTCTTCTTAGGGAAGGGGGGAAATAAACTATGACAAAATCCCAAATCACATATTGATTAGATATATTTTAAAATAAGTGACATATCGTCCTAATTCTCTAAAGCAGACCCTATCAGTTACTTCCAAATGATTTTGGAGGACTTTCCATTGTACCACATTGACTGTTCAATTAGATGCTTAACCACTGAATTAGAGGGTTTATTTTTTCTTTATAAACTTTAGCCCAGGGAACAAATACTTTTAAGGTCAAAATCATCGTGGCTATAATCATTTTGAAGCTTCAGTAGTTTCTGTGTTTGTATATAGGAAAGACCCAAAACAGTTAAAATATTGACTCTTCTTGTTGTCACCATTAGAGAAAGTTGTCCTTCCATGTATATGAGAGTGTGGGTTAAGTGCTTCATTTTTAATGAGTATGTCAATCCTTCTTTCAATTTGATTTTTGAAGTTTTTAGTTTTGCCGTTAATGGGAACATGGAGGGCCTGCAATTGATATACATACAGGCAATATAACTACCATTTGTATTCCTAATCAAATCTCCCTAAATGCTTGTTTTATGTGAAAAAAATTAATATTATTCCCTGAAAAGCAAACCAGCCATCCATTTTTTCTATATACTCTAGTGTAATCTGTGTTGCATTGACTCTTTTCTACACCACAATTCCAAGACCTGAATTCCTTGTGAAAGCTTCCTCTTGTGATTGGGGGAAAGGTTGGATCAGAAATAAAAAAATCAAGCATAGTCAACTATCTGATCAACATCCATGTAGCATCTGACACACATAGTCGTTCGGAAAGATGCCTAGCAGAAGAGAGACTGAAGTAGTAGGTATTTAGTAGATCTTCTGGCCGCCTGGGCAGATTCTTTGGATTTGCTTGTGTCCACAAAGCACCTCTCTCTCTCTACAGACACCAGGGCTTCCCAGTCACTATTACTGCCCCTGTAGCGTAGCACTGCTATGTTCTTCCCAGTTCTTTCATCTCTTCCCTGAGCTAAAGTCATGGGACTTCTCGGGTGCTAACATTGTGCCCTGATTTTTGCAACTAATGAAAATTATTTTTCTTCTTTATGTTACACTTTGCTACAGAGGTTCCAAAATGAGACTCTGCTCCAATGCATTACAGAATTATTCCTTATTACCTTTCCAATCTTCTCTCTAATCCTGTTTGCTACCAAGACATACAAGTTAAGAGAAGACGATTATTTCCACACCTCAAAAATGAGTATAGTGGTGGCTGGGGTGCACAATGGAAATATGTTCTATTCAGATTTCCCTCTCCCCATAGATAACTAAACTTTGGTCCGTAGACCAAAATTTTATGTTTTTTTTATGATTTTCCATTGTAAGAAGGTATAGTTTTAAAACTCTCTTTTTCATGCAAATAAGATTCCAGTGACCCTGCTCCCTTCATATTGTCAGATTTGTTTGACACTCACTCATGGACATAGTTTAGGTTCAAGCTATGTCCTAAACTATGCTTGATTTTATTCCTTGGTCAAGTGAGACCCCCAGAGAATTTACTTATTTGACCTTAGAAAATGAATGTTTCTCAATCATCAGCTCTTCTCCATGCATCCATCCACCTCATTTGTCCTTACAGAAAAATGGAACCTCAAAGTCAGAAATACAGAATTTGCTACTGTGCCTCTTTTAAAGTTGTGATTGAGATTTGTCTGACATCTCACTTATTATTTGCCCTCTTTAATAAAACCTGGTTATGCATGTAGGGCCATTTCTTTCTCTCATGCATCTGAATCAAAACAAACAGATAAATAAAACTTTACTTCTAAGAAAATTCAATTCTGTAACACTTACTGGAACAAATGACCTTTGTATCAGATTGGTGCAAAAGTAGTAGTGGTGTTTGCCTAAGAATTGATCATCTTCCTAAGAATTGATCATCTTCCTATCTTTGCTAGGAAAGTTGATATAGCATTTCTGGCTGATCTTTAGTTAATATGTAAAATCATTTTGCATAGTTTCTCTAAATTAACATACTAAATTCTACTGCCTCATGTTATTGTCTATGCCTATGCTCCACATCTTTTCTCTATCTTCTTTTCTCTTTTTATTCATTCCCATTGAATGTGTTGCATATATTTTTATAAATCATCTAAGATCATTTTGGAAAGTAGTGGAGTAGGATTAAATTTAATTTCATATACAAAATTACATAATGTTTTAATGTAAAGGGGACTAGACTGGCGAATCCCTGCAGCTTCATAGAAAGTGGATAGTGTGGTGACCTCAGATTCCTGCTAAAGACCTAGGGATCTTAGCAGAAGACATAACAATTTTATATCTGGAGTATGGGTCCAGGAATAAAATGTTATGCAGAAGAGTTAAAATGTATTTTATTTTCTGTGTTTGTTAGTGTTTTATTTTACACATAAAAGAGATTAACCATTGCTATTGAAGCAGCCTCGTTGTCTGAGGTATTGCCCAGAGCTCCTTGTCTCACAACCAAGAAAAATAAGGAGCGTGGACACTAAGGGTGAGGTTGGCGTGAAAGTTTCATAAGAGAAGGAGAAAAGTTCTCCACAGTGGAGAGGGGGACATGAAAGAGGATTTCCAACCATGAGGCTTAGTCCGGGGTTTTTATGGACTGGAAGGGGAGGAATGTGCTGACTGGTCTGCAGGCTGTTTTGGAGAAAGCAGCACTGAGAAAGAGGTATGATAGTGTAAAGAGCCAGTTGGAGGCGGAGGTGAAGGCTTGGCCTGGGATCAATCAGCAGCTGAAGAAAAAGCTTGGCTGGAACCTTCACTAGGGATGAATCAGGGGCTAAAGTGATGATTCACTCCATGTAAATGAAGACTTAGCCTGCAGCCAATTACAAAAAGGTAGACATATGTAAAACAGATGAAAAGTAAGAGACCAATAGGTGAAAAATAAGGAACTAAGGCATGCCAAGGAGAGATAAATGTGTCCAAAAAAGGGTGGAATTTGTTGATCAGGGTTCACAGAATAAGCATTTCCATTCAAGGACATGGGCTCTTTCTTATCTGGGACCTGCAGTTTGATTTTCAGGCTGTTCTTTGTTTGGAGGAGTTTTACCAATGATCCATCCCAACTGGCTTCCTGAGACTGGCTTCTTACTGTGTTCTCTCTTACTATGAACTCTTTTTTTCCAGAAAACATGTCTGTGTAAAGCTGGGTTTTTTAGTTTTTGTTTTGTTTGGTTGTGTTATTTTATATTTCAACTCAAACAATATATTGCAACAGATTAGATACAGGAATAGATTATCCTCTATTATGATATACATGAAAGATATTTGAAAAAACTGAAACAATTACAGTATTTATTAATATTTTCTGCTTAAAAAATTAAATTTTATAAAATACATTATGATAATTTACAATGGATTTATTATTATTGTACAAAGATAAAGATGTTTTAATTTTTTTGTTTTAATTTATAATGGAGTAAATATTGATAGACAAAGCTTCCATAAACAAAAGCTCCTTGGGTGTCTCAATATTTTTAAAGAGTATAAAAGGCCTTTCAGCAAAATGTAGGAACCGCTGTGTCATATATTATTGCTTTAAATGAGTCATTTATATATTCGTCCATTTGACATTTTAAAATTTTACCTGTGTACTCATCAACTACAGAGTTTGTGTCTCTTACATCTTAGTATCATACATAATGCCTATCATGGGGTATGTGTGTGTGTGTGTGTGTGTGTGTGTGTGTGTGTGTGTTTGTATTGTCATTGTATCAGGCATGTAAGTAGAAAATGTGTATTGAATTAAAATTATATCAAATTCATCCATACATCAAATATTAATTCAGTGCTCACAATGTGCTAGTTGATGTTCCAGGTATCCGACTTAAAGAAAAGAGATATAAAACTACTTAAAGAAAAGAGATATAAATTCTGGCATTAATGAAACATAATGTAGCAGCAATTTGGCCTTGTTTTCATTTTAAAAGGATTATGGACCTGAAGATACTTAAGAAAGTATCTTCAGAGGTATCTTCTCCATATCTTAAGAAAGCATTTAATAAGTGGAAAAGTTGTGAAATACAGAGAGAGAATTTGGTCCAATGGCTTTGTAATTGGTTAAATGAAGAGAGCTAGAAATTGATGAGTAGTCCATCTGCTTCACCCAGCATGAAGACATTTTAGAAGCAGATCTTGGGGCTCCTTCCTAAACTCATCTTATTTAACAATTATGATCATGTACAAGTCAGCAAAGAGCAGTGATTAATGAGGCTAGCCTCTGAAGAAAGGTATCCTGGGTGAAATTAAACTGTGCAACTTATAACCTTGGGCAAGTCACATTCCTTCTCTGTCCCTCAATTTCCTCATTTGTAATATGGGGTTAAGAATAGTATACACCTACCACAAAGGGTTGTTTTAAGGATTAAATGAATTATTATTTCTAGACATTACATAAGTGTATGTTCTACTAATTTACAGAAAGTAAATGGTTAGAAGCATATAAATATTTATTATTTATTTAGATATCTGGGAAATTATTATTTCTTAAAATGGCTGTATTAAAAGGATATGATAAGCCATTAAACCTGAAAAAAGTCTAGGTAATATAGGGGAAACAATATTGAGAGAAAGTCCTGTGCTGAAAGAAACTACTGCAATTATACTATGAGCTTTCTGCCAATTATTACAGGTAGTTTTCAAAATTTTAGATGACATAAAGCTAGGAGAGACAGCAAGTTGGGTAACAGAATCTAAAACAGTCTGTATAGTTTTGCATATTGGGTCAAATCTGGTAGGATTAAATTTAACATAGAAAAAAATGTAAGTCTTAAAACTTGGAATCCTAAAAGAAGCAATATATATTTCATAATGTAATTGATTGTAGGCTCTGTATAAGACAATTAATAAGTTACCAAAAAAAAAAAAAAACTTACAGGAATGTAGTGTCTTGATCAATTAAAATAATAGTACAACTTTACAGTGGTCAGTCAATCCCTATGCTAATTTCAGGAGACCATTGTACAAGTAGGGCAGAGTTCAGCAAAACAAGTATGAGACCGAGTTGATTTGAAACTCTTCCATTAGGAACTGAGGAGTAATAGAAATAGTAATTTACCTTAACTGCGTACCATTCAGTAATCTCAACATATCCACATGCTCTGACACTCAGCAGAGCACTCAGCTGCAATACTCAATTGGGTTGGAAGCCATAACCCCACATATCCCTGGCTTCTTCCTGACCTCTTCCCAATTCTATTTATTGGCTTAATCAAAGGCATTCCTAAGTCCCACCTTTTTCTTAATTATTTTTTGTTTACAGCATTTAGTTTCTGGGTTCTAATCATTCTGAGACTTTAACAGGATGTGTCCTCTGGAGCTCCTCCTTTCAACCAGGAGAAGTGGAATTTCATTCCTAGTGAACTCTAAAGTGTGACTCCATTTTCCCCAAGGTATAAATTTGGATAAGATAATAGTGGTAACCCCTGAAAGCAAACCTACAACTAAAGGTAGAAGAGTAATGGAGGAGGAAGAGTTTTGATTAAGAACAACTTCCTAAGATCTGAAAACACCTGAGATTAGAGTGAACCTTGTCGGAACAACTGACTTTCCCATTTCTACAGATATTTCAGAAGTTTGTTCTTTCACTTGTGGAATTCTTGAAGCAACAATTTAAAAATCATACAGTAAATTATACAGTCTTTTTTCTGAGCTATTTTCAAAACTTACGAATGTGTGATTTTACGGGAATTTTTAGAAAGAATTATATGCAACAGATCACGTTGGTTATAATTGTGAGGATCAGAAAATAGAGCTGAAGGTTTACATATAATACGACATGAATATGAGCTATATTTTGGTTGGTTAAGTAAAGTATGGAAAATTATCTTAACAATTCAAGGAAGAGACTGAGATTCACCCAGGTAACTGAAACAGTGCATTCTTTATATTAATGATCTAGATAAATGCTTCATTTTTCACTCATTTCTCTGTGTCAAAACATAACTTTATCTTTAACTTGGAATATTTTATATTTATTCATTTTGTTAGGTAGAAATTGATAACATAGTCTTCCAGAAGCAGGTTGTTAAAAGTAATGAAATTGCTTTTAATAAGACAATACATAAATTTAAAGTATCAAAGAGAAGTTAGTCTATTAATATATAAATATAATGTCATACAAAATTTTATTTTATGTATCATGACCATAAAATGAAATTTATTTTTTTCTCTTTTATCAGCTTAATTAAGAAGTCTCTAACCAAGCTAATATATTAAACAACATTAAGACTAAAATTAAGTAAAAATATTTGATGCCATATATGATTAAAACATGAATTATGCAGAACTACAAAATAAAAAAGCACTAGGAATGGGTTTCTTGAAGTATCTTTCATACCACCTGAAAAGGTTGGTTTTTCTAACATTAAATTTAGAAATGGATTGAACATGTTTTCATTTTATAATGTAATAGTTATTGAATTGTTAAAAAAGAAAAAAAAAAAAACAAAAAAAAACTTTTGGCCGGGTGCGGTAGCTCACACCTGTAATCTCAGCACTTTGGGAGGCTGAGGCAGGCAGATCACCAGGTCGAGAGATCAAGACCGTCCTGGCCAACATGGTGAAACCCCATCCCTACTAAAAATACAAAAATTAGCTAGGCATGGTGGCGGGCGCCTGTAGTCCCAGCTACTCAGGAGGCTGAGGCAGGAGAATCTCTTGAACCTGGGAGGCGGAGGTTGCAGTGAGCCGAGATCGCACCACTGCACTCCAGCCTGGCAAGAGAGTGAGTCTCTGTCACAAAAAAAACAAAAAAGCAAAAAAACTTTTGGCTAAAGTGTGTGAATGTTCACTTGCTCTCTCAGAAGTATAAAACAACAATTGATGCCAGGATATATTCTATGTGTCAGATTCATTCTGCTTTTAACGTTAGTATTGAGCTCACATAACATTATAATTTTTTTGGTATGTGCACATTTTAAGTCTTTAACTGTGATGACTTTAGAAGAAACATGAATAGAAGCCTTGCCTGTGACAGAGTCTAGAGAACAGCCATTATGTCTCTGTATACAGCATGCACACCTCTATTGAAAGCACTAGTATATGGCTAAACACTTTATTCTTCTCTGAATCTCCTCCTTGTTTGCAAAATAACAATCTGGCTATTATTAATCAATCTTTGTTGCTAATCAGATTTATATTTCAACCTATGCTATCAACCCTGTTCTGCCTAAAATGCAGCCCTACTCTTTTCTAGATACTGAAAGATAGTTTTTTCTTTGGTAGAGCTCAATAGCTTCAGTTCGTTTCTTCATTCAACATGTATCGACTGCCTACATTTTCTAATAAAGCCAAGCACTTTATTAGAAACTGAAGAGACTGTGATCACAGCAATGGCTAATTTTATATGTCAGCCTGACAGGGCTGTAGGGCCCAGGTTTGGTTCAGTATCATTATTATATATCATTATTCTGGGTGTTTCTGTGATGTTGGAGGAGATATGCATTTAAATCAGTAGACTTAGAGTAAAACACATTGCCCTCCATAATATGGATGGGCTTTTTCTAATCAGCTGAAGGCCTAACTAGAACAAAAGGCTGGTCTCCCCAAGGAAGAAGGAACCTTCCTACAGATGGCCATCAGACTTCATTCGCAACATTGGCTCTTCCTGGTTCTACAGCAGATGGCCTTTGGACTCAAACTGCAATTCTTTCTTTCTTATGTCTTCAGCCTGATGGCCTAACCTCATCAGATATTCGTCTTATAAGCTTGCACAAGTGTGTAAGCCAATCCCTTAAAATAAATCTGTTCATTTATATCTACAGGCACACACACACACACACAAACACACCCACACACAAAATTGGTTCCGTGTCTCTGGAGAACCCTGACTACTACAGGAACCAGAACATGGTCACATAACCCAAATCTTACTGGGTTGGAGAAGACTTCCTCAAGGGCACGGGCCTTGAAATGTGTTCCCAGACATTAAGGAGCTTACTAGTCAGCAGTAGTGACAAATACATTGGTCAATAAATGTAATGTAGAGTGGAAAAGTATAATAATGGATATATACATGTGGATAGAATGATGTATGAAAGTGTAGAAATCTACAGAGATTGGGAGTGATGTTGCTGAAGAGAAGCTGCTAAAGCTTTGTCTTAAAACCAAGTAAGACTTTAAGTCCATGGAGAAGCACTTAGTCCTTGTAAGAAAAGGTAGCATCCTAAAGCAGGGAAAACAGGATTGACAACACAGACTTGAAGATCAATTAATGATTGTTCTGCTAGAAAATTCAAGGTGGATGAGAAGCAAGTCATGAGTTAAAGGTAGTGGCCCATCAAGCCAGGAGCCCAGCTAAACAGCACACACTCTCTCAACCATACAATGTACCAGACAGGAAAACTCCATTTTAAAGCAATTGCCCTAGTATGCAATATTCCCTTCTTACTCAACTCTATTCTCATCACTTGAGGTCAGGGGTTCCAGACCAGCCTGGCCAACATGGAGAAACCCCATCTCTACTAAAAATTAGCTGGGCATGGTGGTGCAAGCCTGTAATCCCAGCTACATGAGAGGCAAAGGCAGGAGAATCGCTTAAACTCAGGAGGCAGAGGTTGCAATGAGCCGAGATTGCGCTACTGCACTCCAGCCTGGGTGAAAGAGCAAGACTCCAACTCAAAAATAAAATAAAATAAAATAAAATAAAATAAAATAAAAGGAATCTAGGCCCCTGCCTCCAGCTTCTTTATCATGGACACTCAGCTGTCTTTTCTCTGGTATTTGCCCATTCTTCATTACCCTCCACACATATCTTGACTGGTCCTAGTATGTCAAAGGCTATAGACAATCATGCATTGATTTTTATGTAGTCGACTTGCTTTTCTGGATACTGCTTATGTGTCGAGTCTTTTGTGATATAATTAAGAAGTTGCAGAGTAAACAAAGCAATGGTTCCCATCCTCCATGTCCATAACAGTATAGTGAATGTGAAAGCCTAAAAAAGAGACGAGGAAGCTTACAGTCATGATGATCAGAACTCGGTTTATTTCTATTTTGATCTATTATCAGAGATGATCTATAGACTAGAACTTTTTGCACTAATGGTAAAGCTAATTATATTCCACTAAATACAAGGAAATAATTCAGAATGAAATAATTAAAATCACTGCAACATAAAAATCAATAGCCTGCCAAACAGGGAAAAAATGCTGTTTAACAGAATTTCCATTTCTAAAGTAAATATTAGAGTTAGAGTCATAAGGTAAGATGATTTATTGTAAAATAACAGCAAGAATAAGTACACTTTGGAGCAATTCTGTAAGTAATGTCACAGAATCACCTTCATGAGCTAACTAATTAGCTCATTAAAGCATTCCATCTCACTGAGAAGCAGTTCTCCTTGAAGGCTGTCAGCTGTGTGATTGAGTGACATGCAAAATCTCTTGGCATTTTATGGATACGTGATCCTTGGCATTCAATAATAAAACTTCTCTTCTCTGTTTGTAGAAGAAGAGCATTCAATTTTCATGGAAATGTCAGATAGATTATATTGTTTTCTTCTATTTATTTTTATTGTTTTGGTCTGGGATATATTTGAAAGCCTGTCAATGGTGTCCTTTGCAGTTGCTTCAAGAGCCGTAAAACAATTGGTACAATTTGAAAATGCTGATTTATTGTTGATGCCAAAATATAGACATGTTTTTGAATAAGAAATCATGTGAGATTCATAAATTTCCAGTTGAAGATTAATCATTTCAACTTTTGAGTATTTTTCTTTTTATGTTAATTTCTCTAAACTTCTAATAAAATCTTAGAGGTAGATTCTTCATATATAGAAAAATGAAATAGGGTCTCTGAATACATTGTATAGCCTACATATTTGCATGTAATAGTTATTCCATAAATGCTTAATGAGAAATGGAAAAATTGTAGTAATTGCTTAATTAACATATTAATATTTTGAGAATTCCCTTTGCCTAAATTGCTGTCTGATGTCGTTCCAATAATTCTAAATGCATTCTCTGTGGAATTTTTTTTGAACTTCAAGCTCACTTTATTTCTACCTTATTTTCTCCAATATTGCACTATTTAACACTTGATCATGATTAATATTAACAAATATTTACCTATATGTCTTAATATTCATTTGAGTTCTAATATATGTAAGTGCAGCGAGGGTTAATATTACAGAAAGGAGGGAGGGAAGGTGAAAAAAAAGTAAAAGCAAAAAAAAAAAGAGTGAGAATGGTAAACATCTATTAAACTTCAGCTGAAATGAAAGGAGGCTCATCAATTATTTATCAAGTCATACATATATTCAACTGTAAATGTTTGTAAACCTACCAGATGCTAGAGTGTAGAGGAAGATACTGATGCATAAATACTATAGCAGGTGTTAGCAACATTTATAAGTATAGGATGCTATAGGAATATAGAGGAGAGTCACATAACCCAAGTCTATTGGGTTAAAGAAGACTTTCTCAAGGGCATGATGCCTTGAAATGTGTTAACCAGAGGAATATTCGTGAAGGGCTATGACAGAGATTGTTAATTGCATTCAACCTCTAGTTTCTCTTTTACATTTAGTAATGAACTCCTTGGCATTGCATCAACTTTATCAGGGCACATGGCCACCCAGATAAAGACTATGATTCCCAGCTAGAGGTTGCCTACATGGTTAAATGCAATATGAATAGAAATGATGTATTCACCATCTACGCCACTTCCTCAAACAGATGAAATGTGCATGTGATTGTGAACCAGCTTTGACTATAAGGTCAACCACATGTCCTAGGAAATGACAAAACAATAAACAAGGAATTCAAGAGGATCTGAAGGATAAGGTCTAAGTACAGGTGCTGTGGGAAAATAGAAGGAGACCATGGCCCAGTTTTGTTGGGGTATGGATTGCTTCTACATTCATCCATCAAGTTGTTCATAATATTTTCTTATTATCCTTTTAATGTCTGCAGGAACTGAGTGAAGTTCCTTCTTTAATTTCTGATATTGGTTATTTTTGTCTTCTATCTTCTCTATTGATCAGTCTGGCTACAAGCTTATCAATTTCATTTTTTAAAAATGAGATTTTGGTATGATTTATTAATTTTCTCTATTGTTTTTCTGTTTACAGTCATTGATTTCCATTTATCTTTATTTTCTTCCTTCTGCTCACTTTGGGCTTAATTTACTCTTCTTTCTCTATTATCTTAAGGGGTAAAATTAGATAACTGATTTGAAAACTTTTTTACTTAAAATGTAATCCTTTAATTCAATAAACTGCACTTTAGGGACACCTTTACTTTTGTCCCATAGATTTTGATAAGTTGAGATTCCATTTTTAAACAAAGTGTTTTCTAATGTTTTTGTGACTTCTTCTTCGACACATTTGTTATTTAGAAGTCCCTTGTTTGATTTATAAATATATGAAAAATTTTCCAAGGTCCTTCAATAACTAATTTCTAGTTTAAGTCCATTGTGATCAGAGAATATACTGTATAACTTTATTTCTTTTACATTAGCATGAGGATTATGTATTACAAGAATAGAGTGTAGCTTGGCAAGTGTTCTATGTATACTTAAAAACATATGTATTGTGCTGTTGTTGCATGGACTGTACCTTAAATATCAATAAGTAAAGATAGTTACTAGTGTTTTTCAGGTATTCTATATGCTTTTTGATCTTTTTTCTATTTTTTTAATGATTACAAGAAGAAAAGTGCTGAAATCCCCAACTATAATAATTACTCTATTTTTCTTTTCAGTTTTATCAGTTTTTAATTTAGGTATTTTAAAAGTTTGTAGTTTGGTGAATACACATTTAGGATTACGTCTTCTAGGTGAATTGATGCTTTATTTATCAAAAGATGTCCCTCTTTAGCCCCATTAATATCCCCTGTTTTAATGTATTTTGTCTGATATTAATTTAGCCATTCCAGGTATTTTACATTATTGTTTACATTATATATCTATTTAAATATTTTGTTTTTTTGTGTTATCTGTATCTTATATTTAATGTATGTTTCTTAAAGACAGCATAGAGTTTAGTCTTGCATTTCTGCCCCAAATCCAGTATGCCTGTTTTTTAATGAGGCTGTTTCAATTCTTTGTAGTTAATATAATTAGCAATATAATTGGATCTAAATCTACCATCTTGCTGCTTTCTATTTATTCCACCTGTTCTTTGTTCTTTTTCTCTCTGCCTATTTTTACAATATTACCTATTTTTTTAGTATTTTAATTCATCTTTATTGACTTAATTAGTTATAACTATAACCATAATTATTTTAGTAATTTATTTAGCATTTACAATATGTCTTTATCACAGTCTACTTATTATTAATAGTTATATCACTTAATGTCTCATATAGGAACCTTCCAAGGTGATCCTCCCAGTTCAGCCTTTCCATTCTTTGTATTACAATTTTTACACATTTTACTTTGATAAATATTTAGTGCTATTATAACTTGTTACTATTATGCCAAGTCAAGAGTCAGCTTGCTTATTTTCTGTAAAAGGCCAGATAGAAAAATATTTTTGGCTTTTTGAGCCATAATGTCTCTCTCACTACTCAACTTTTATGTTATGGGTGAACACAGCCACAGATAATAAGTGACTGGGTATGACTATATCCAAACAAACATTATTCATTAAAATAGTTAGGGGCTGCTTTACAGTCAGATGTAAGCAATCTTATTTATTGAAGCAAATCTGCTCTCCCCAAAATTTTCTCAAGTTTTCTTTTTTTTTGAAAAATATTTTTTGCCTTGATACTTGAAAGATACTTCTTCCCCACCGCCCAATATAGAATTATAAGCTGTCTGTTTTTTTTTTTCTTATTCAATAGTTTGAACTAGTTACTCATTTTTCTCTGGCTTGTGTATTTTCTAACAAGAGTATGGTATAATTCTTACATTTTTCTCTCTGTAAATAATTCTTCCTTCCTTCCTCCTCCTCTCTCTTCCTTTTTTTCCTTTCTGCCTGTCCCTTCCCCCTTCCCCTTCCTCTCTCTCCCTGTCTTTCTTTTCCTTTCAGTTCTTCAAGATTTTCTTTTTGTCTTTCAATTTTTAGGACTTTGGCAATAATATATATTTTTGTCTTTATCATGCTTTGGGCATTCTGAATTTTTTTAGATCCAGGAATTGAGGTATTTGCTTAATTTTGGAAAAATTTTGGCCATTATCTCTTCAATTGTTACTTCCATTATCCACCCACTCCCCAGCCTCTTCTTCTGCATCTATGATTATGTTCTCATTAGACCATTGGCTGTTGTCCCATCATTCTTGGTAGCTGTGGTTTTTTTCACCATATTTTTTGGTTTGTGTTTTTGTTTGACCTTTTTCTTCATGGTTTTGTCTAGCAGTATTGCTATATCTAAAGAAAAGCCTCTCAACTTTTCTGTCGTTTTTTTTTAAATCACCTGTTATTCCATTTGATACTTTCTTAGTTTTCATTTCTCTGCTGGAATTTCCTGCATTGTCCACCTTTTCCAACAGATATCATTTGCATGGTTGCCACTTTTCCTCTTTTTGTTCTACCAAAGGTAAAACCATTTTTGTGATCTGTTTATCCTGGAAGAGACTTGTTCCTTGTTGGAATTAATTTTTTCTGAATTACTTTAGACCTCAGCTAGCTTCAAGAAAAGTTATGATTTTGTAGATCACCTAGTTTTATTCTTGTAGTTAGTGTCAGAGTAATATTCTCTTGTATTTTTTCATATCCTATGTGGAGCCAAAGACCTTCTGAAGTGTTTGAATTATTTCTGAAGGATAGTCTTTCTTCCACATTTTATGTTCCTTCTTTTCAAAGAGCTTATTAAGATTTTTGTATCTCTTGGAATCTTTCTTGACTTTTGGTCTACTTTCTGTGAGATCTTCTTTAATTTGTCTTCTAACTATATTGCTGAATTATTTTTCAATTTCTGCAGTGTTATTTTAATTTTTAATGGCTTTACCCTGTTCTCTAAATTTTGTTTGTGTAGTTTACTTTTTTAGATGTTAATATTTTAATGTGATAAAACAATTTATTGTACTTATTTTGAAAATTTCCTCTGTGAATTGTCTTTGGTTTCTCTACATTCTCTTTTTATGCATGTTTTATTTTTTAAGTACTTTATCAAATTTACATTTCCATCTTTAAGAATGAGGCACTGAAATGCTGACAGAGAGCTCAGATGGTCAAGAACAGAAGGGGGTTGTGGGTGGTCTCACAGTTCATAATATAGCACTTCCACTTTCAACCATGGCTAGTGGTCAAAGTCCAGAGCCTCTGTTGTTAAACGGCTACATAGATTAAATATTTAGTCCTTTTTTGGGATGAACAGAATAGTGTTCTTGTTGACAGGGTAGGAAAAGAGATCTTACACACTAATTGTTTCTCCTAAAGTCTTCTAACTAATCCTTGCACTTTCAGCCCCAATCCACATTTTAGCCATCAATGGCAATTACATTCCAACTTGTGGGCCTCTGAGGTTCTTGGATACACATCAGCTTGCTTGATCTTTTGACTTAATCTCTTGGAGTCTGTTGTTGATTTCCCTTTCCTCACTCTTTCTAAGTCAGGTTCCAGTCATCCATTGAGTTCACAGTTTCCACCATCTTGTGGACATTTCTTGCTGTCATTTCTCATTCTCTTTGACTTTGTGGTTTAATGCATTTTTGAACGTTGTTTCACTGTGATAGAAGTGAATTTTTTGAGTGGAGGTAAAAGTATAGATGTTCAAAATGCAACGAAATTGGTCCTCCAGAGCTGGAATTCCAAAGCAAGGCAAGGGATCCCAGACTTTGTGTTCCTTCATCAGCTGGCCACTGCCCAAGTGTGGCCCTCTGGAAGAGGACACAACCTTGAATGAGGCAGTGCTCTAAGGCTGAGGGAGATTCCCAGTGAGCAGCATGCTAGGGCAGTCAATAGACCCTAATCCCCACAGGTGGGAGATAGGTGCATCATCCTCAAGAAAAATTGGGGTGTCATTGCTGATATCCATCACAGTGTTTATAGCTCCAGGCCCCGTGTCATCTGCATGTTTATTCTTACTCTTTTTCCATTGAAGATAGTACAAGAGGCCCCAATAAATCAAACAGTTTTTAATGCTTGCCAGAAAAGGAGACAGCTGCTTGCAAAATTCATGTATGCTTCCCTTTTAGGCTTAGATATACTGTATATACAACCAGTCCAACCACCAAAGATCAGCTTCCTTTGTCTTTGAACTGGGGCCAAAGAAGTTAAGAAGTTTCCCAATATAGGCCCTTTGTAGTCAGCCGCTTTCCCTAGAGCTTTGGCTGCAGGCAACTATTGGACTCCTTTATTCAATGTAATGTCATTTGCTTATTCCAGAATTTCAAATAAATGGAATCTTTCAATAATTCTTTATTTTGCTTGTTATCACTCAGCTTAATATTTTAAAGATTCATGCATGCTGTTGGGTATATGTGGAATTTATTTATTTTTTATTGCTGAAGAGGATTCTATTTTGTCGATATACTTGATATGGTTTGGCTGTGTCCCCACCCAAATCTCATCTTGAATTGTAGCTACCATAAATTTCTCATGTTATAGGAGGGACCTAGTGAGAGATAATTGAATCATGGGGGTGATTTTCCCCATACTGTTCTCATGGTAGTGAATAAGTGTCATGAGAGCTGATGGTTTTATAAAGGGAAACCCCTTTCATTTGGCTCTCACCCTTCCCTTGTATGCTGCTATGTGAGAAGTGCCTTTCACCTTCCACCATGATTGTGAGGCCTCCCCAGTCACATGGAACTGTGAAACCTCTTTCTTTTGTAAATTGCCCAGTCTTGGGTATGTCTTTATCAGCAGCATAAAAACGGATGAATACAATACTGCAACGTGCTTATCAATTGGGCTGAGGAAAAGCATTGAGTTCTTTCCAGTTTGGGGATGTTATGAATAAAGCTGTTATTACCAATGTTGCATGAGTTGTACATGGTCATTATTTACTACTCTTCTCAGTAAAATACCTTTGTGCTCCCTCACAGCCAGCTACTTTTTTTTTTTTTTTTTTTTTACCATCTCTTAAGAAATATCTAAGCATTTAGAAGAATGAGCTTTGCACTTCAGGCATGCACAGATGAGGGAAACATTTTACTGTAAGGATCTGGATGGTAAATATTTTAGGGGTTTCAGTCCACAGGGTATCAGTTGCAACAACTGAGCTCTGCTGTCACAGCACAAAAACAGGCACAGAAAATACATATACAACTGACTGTGTGGCTAGGGCCAAAAAAAAAGCTTATTTATATAAGCAGGAAATGGGCAGAATTTAATCCAGGAGCTACAGTTTGCTGTTCTTATTTAAAATTGCAAAATATTCCTTGACTTACAGTGCAATTATAATAGTGTTTTCATTTGTTAAGTATTCCCAGAATCATGAATTGGACAATAAATAGATGCTAGGAAATGAATGCTGGACACTACTGTGCAATGATAATTTCAGAGTGCAAAAATCCACTGTATCCATGCCAACTGAGAGAATGGGTTCCTCGAGTAAACATGTTTGTCTCCTCTCTTACCTAACTATGCCTCCTGTTCAAGTTGTTATTGTATACTGCAGCAGTGAAGGAATATTTCTAACTTTGACAAGGATACGACTCATGAACTTTTATGGCATTAAAACTCAGCTCCCTTCAATTTTAAGGACATAGCCCAAGAGATGTGGAGAAGCATTTCCCTGGGGTCTAAACATTGTTTTCTTCAAGAGCAGGTATTTGTGGTCACCTTTGTCCTCTGCCAGGACTGCTCAATGTGTGCCTAGAGACAGAGGAGGGCATGTCTTCTTTAATACATCTATTGTTTGGGTGTCTGTGTTATGCAGAGTTTTCTATAATGATGGGGCTCAGGGCAGAAGATTCCTGTTGCTTGGGTCTAAATGTAGTACTAATAAAATCAGAATCATCTTAAAGAACATAAATCAGGCCATTGTTCTTTGCTGCTGAATATCTCCCAGTAGATTTCCATTGCATTTAAAATGAAATCCACTCTCCTTTCCCTGGCACGCAGGCTAACCGTGTGCTGAAACTTGCTGGTTCTTGTAAATTAATCTGACCTCACTGTCTCCCAGCCCACCATCTTCTAGCCTGCTGGCTTTCCTCTTCTGTCTTGAAGAAATGGAGGAGGAAAAATAATCTTGGCTTTCTATGGGAGAAATATTTCTCCTCTTTTCATTTCTATATTTCAGGACATATGATAGTGTCTTGCAGACATAGGTTGTCAAATAGGTATTTTTAAGTGAAAGATATTTTACAAAAGCAAAGGAAGGAGGGAAGTTTTCCATGGTGATGATATAGTTTGAGCGTATTCTTGGTGGTGTGAAATTTATGTGAGGTTTTAAGGAATGACTTGCAAGGTTAAAATAATGAGATTTATAAGAAGGATATGTTATATTTTAAGGTAATTAGTGATGGTTTCATCAAAAAGATGGAAGAATCTATGATATTTACATGCTTGTGGATGTCTCAGAATTGTATGGTGTTTTGCAGTTTCCAAGTACTTTCACATATGAAATCTCATTTATGCGAGATCCCTGTTTTTCTAGCTTAATGCAGGCCAGGGATGCATAAAAACTTAATTAGAGACAGAAGGAAAATAATTTCTTTTTCCAAGGATCCATATGTGTGCAATGAAAGAACAAAAGGAAGTTTTGTTTTTAAGAATCATCCTAGACCTTGCATTTTTATTCATTTCTGACAATGGAAAAGTGGCTATAGCTGCCAACTCAACAGTCTTTCCAAGTAAGCCCTTGAGTAAGAAGCCAAATGTCTTGTCTGTGAAAAAAATATATATATATCAGCAGTTAGGCATCTGAATGCCACCTCCAGATAACAAGGAAATGAACATGTGTGCATTTGATTTAACACTTTAAAATGTGGTCTCTCACATTGCTCTCCCAAGACTCATCACCCTGTATTTTGAGAGTACCTCTGAGTACTAGGGTTCATGCCAATCTCACAACTAAATACATACAAGTGCACTTAATTGTGATTAAAAACAATCACTCAGTCCATGTAGATAACTAAAGTTTTTTTTTTCTTAGTAGTATATTTTCAATATTTCTAAACTGGCCAGGAGATCACTTTAAAATGAACCAGGCACAGCTTGCAAAATGCCATTACTACTCTCAGGACAAACTAATGAGCAAAGAAAATAGGAATTTCATTGGTTATGTGGGAAATCATTCTATACTATGCCAGGAAACATATTTATTTAGTATATGTACAGTGTATGAGCTTAATATAACCATTTGATTGAACAAACTATTTACCTAAGTCAACCTTACCATTTCCTCCCTCCACTTCTTAACAGTAGATTTCATCTAATCCTCATGCAAAAAAGTGGGTAATATCAACATTTATTAATAATTATTTTATTGGTTACAATGTTCTATACGTTCTTTGGTCTTTTGAAACTGTCTTTAGCTCTTACTCACTGTCATCCACAGGAATTGCACCACTAAGTTTTAGAAACTGTAGTTTTAACTGGAACATTTTTATTCCAACTTCCTATGGTCACCTGATAATATTAAAATTCTGTGACCTTAAAACTAGAAGGACTTCCAATAGCCATAATTAGATATTACATTAAATCATTATTAATCTCTGCATTCTCTATAAAATGTTTCATTTTCATACAATTGAAACATAGATTTTCCTTTCTGTAAATTACAGAATTTTCTACCTGTATCATGCACAGGTGATGCCTTATTATCTATGATCTATATCTGAGCATCTTTGTACCTGTCCCCCTTACACAGCTACACAAAATTGAAAACCTAGGCAACTTCTTATTAACTTTCTCCTCTGACCTGTTAACATCATCCCTTCTAATCTTAGCAGCACTGGTGGTGAATATGTTTTCATTCTTTCCTCCATTTTTACACAGTTTGTATGCAAATAATATTTATTATTAAATCAATAACTAACAATGTGTAACTACTTGTTGTGGGAAGTCAGGGACCCCTAACGGAGGGACCGGCTGAAGCCGTGGCAGAAGAATATAAATTGTGAAGATTTCATGGAAATGTATCAGTTCCCAAAATTAATACTTTTATAATTTCTTATGCCTGTCTTTACTGCAATCTCTGAATATAAATTGTGAAGATTTCATGGACAATTGTCACTTCCCTAATAATACTCTTATAATTTCTTATGTCTGTCTTTAATCTCTTAATCCCATTATCTTCATAAGCTGAGAATGTACGTCACCTCAGGAACACTATTGTACAAATTGATTGTAAAACATGTGTGTTTGAACAATATGAAATCAGTGCACCCTGAAAAAGAATAGAATAACAGCGATTTTCAGGGAACAAGGGAAGATAACCATAAGATCTGACTGCCTGTGGGGTCGGGCAGAATAGAGCCATATTTTTCTTCTTGCAGACAGCCTATAAATGGACATGTGAGTAGGAGAGATATCACTGAATTATTTTCCCAGCAAGGAATATGAATAATTAATACCCTAGGGAACTAATGCATTCCTAGGGGGAGGTCTATAAATGGCCGCTCTGGGAGTGTCTGCCTTATGTGATTGAGATAAGGACTGAAATATGCCCTGGTGTCCTGCAGTATCCTCAGGCTTACTAGGATTGAGATATTCCAGCCTGGTAAATTCTAGTCAGACCGGTTCTCTGCTCTTGAATCCTGTTTCCTGTTAAGATGTTTATCAAGACAATATGTGCACAGCAGCACATAGACCCTCATCAGTAATTCTAATTTTGGCTTTGCCTTGTGATCTTTATCACCCTTTGGAGCATGTGATCTTTGTGACTTGATCCCTGTTCATACAACCCCTCCCTTTTAAAATCCCTAATAAAAACTTGCTGGTTTTGTGGCTCAGGGTCATCATCACAGTCCTACCATTATGTGATGTCACCCCTGGAGGCCCAGCTGTAAAACTCCTCTCTTTGTACTCTTTCTGTTTATTTCTCAGGCTGGCCAACACTTATGGAAAATAGAAAGAATCTACATTGAAATATTGGGGGCTGGCTCCCCCGATAACTAGTGTCGGTTTTTCATATTCAATTCTAAGTTCTGAGAAGCAACGAACTACATCAATCTAATTATACCATGGTTGGCCCATTCTTACCACAGTTCTTGGTACGTACAAAGCAAGTTAGCTAAAAATATTGGTAACATTGTATTCTGGGAATCAATCTATGTATTTTGCCTCAGTTAATTCAGTTAATATTTAGAAAACACTTTTGAGACAGGCTTTTATTATCCTTATTTTATGACCTTAAAAGAATAAAGTGGGCCTGGTGCAGTGGCTCACGCCTATAATCCTAGCGCTTTGGGAGGCCAAGGTGGGTGGATCACCTGAGGTCAGGAGTTCGAGACCAGCCTGGTTAATATGGTGAAATCCCATCTCTACTAATAATACAAAAATTAGCCAGGCATGCTGTCAGGCACCTGTAATCCCATCTACTAGGCTGAGGCAGGAGAATTACTTAAACCTGGGAGGTGGAGTTTGTAGTGAGCTGAGATAGTGCCATTGCACTCCAGCCTGGGCGACAGAGAGAGACAGTCCCAAAAATAAAAAATAAAAAAATGTAGAAACTGAAGGAAAAATTAAGTAATTTGATCAAGACCTCAAAACTGTTTTGTGGAAGGTTCATGAGATATAATGTGTTCTTCATAAATACTGTAATGGACTAATAAATTGTGAAAAATTGCATAAGAAGGTGAAGATAGCTAATTTTGCAATAAATGTGTATAGCTTATAAGTATACATATGTATTCCTTGAACAATGAAGTCTTTCAAAATTAATAGATTACTTACGATGACAATTTGCTGTCTGTAGAATATTGATACGTTCTATTTAGTCTACAGGTAAGAATTTCACCTTCAACTCATCATCAAAATAGGTTAATATAAATAATATAAATTAAAAAACAAATGATTTTGCTCTCTGTATAAGAATCAGACTATGGCAGAGAGATAGTATTAACTGGTGACCCATAATTATAATTTGTACTTTGTAAAATTTTCCTGGAAATGGGAGAAAACTGATTGCCACCTCTAAAAATTCTCCTGCCCTATTATTGTGAATATTTGGAAGGCCTCTTTTTTCTTGGCTTTTTAGACACTCCAAGATCTAATTCAATTTCAAGATTCAATCCAAGATGTACAAAACAAAACAAAGAAATTCTGAATTTATATTGGAGCTATGAAATATTATGCAGAAGCCCTTGTTTCTGTACAGTGTAATAATCAATCAATTCCTTCCTAAAGCAGAGGCAACTAACTGCATTTTTCTTTGCAGAAATATGGCATCCTCAATCTGATATTAGAGATTCAGAAACTATAGTTCCATGAATTTGAGTGTCTCACCCAATGTCAATAACTCCTTAGATCAAGTCTGGATAACTAATGTCTTTCCCAATTGTATTTCATAATTTTATTGTCATTTTTTGTAGCTATTAATTTCAGTGATCCATCATTAATATAATTATATTTGAGAATGTAAAAATGTTATATCACTTTACCTGGAGAGCTCTTTAATTTCTTCCAGCTTAAATACTGCCAAAATAATAAATCGGGAATATGAAATACTATTTACTTAAATGGTCTCATGTATATTGTGCTGGGATACACAATATAAAAACATCGCTTGCAGCTGCCACTGAATACACAGGTGATCACATGAATTAGATCTTGGTAGAAACATTTGTTTGGAAGTGCTGTGTGTAGGAAGCTGAGAAGTCAAGGGGAAGAAAGTTCTGTTCTTTTTTGCTTTACTCCCAGACTGCTTCTGCCCTTAGCAGTGCCTCTGTTCATCAGCACCAGTGAGTTCACAAACCAGTTCTTTCAATAGAAAAATCATCAATCATAAAAACAAGCAAGAGCCCCTCAAATGCTTGTCACTGTCTTACCTTCTGCTATCGTGGGAGAGAACCGACTCCACTTAGAGATGCAATAATCAGCAACTTTCCTTTGTGGAGCAGATGGTGTTGACAGAGCTTGTTCACAATGGTTGGGTATCACTGCAAATTAAGAACAGAGTCCTTTCTATCTGTTATGCTGCTTTTTGTTTATTTGTTTGTTTGTTTTTTATTTTACCGTGAGTTCTCTATTATGTTGCAGGCATGAAACTGAACAGCAATTATAGTTCATTTGTGCTCACAGAATGCTATAATAGAATGCTAGTGTTCTAGATACGAAATTCCATGCTTTACAGAAAATAGACTTAAACTCTAGAATAGTGCCACTTTTTTACTGATTATATTCAAGGGCTCCGCTTTTCCAATAGGAGAGTTTTTTTTTCAGTTAACTGAGGCTTATTCTTTTAAAAATAATACTAAATCTACTCTTATTTTAAATAAAATATTCCTAAAGTATTACAACACTCCTGGAATTAACAAATGAAATGTATAATGTATTGTGAGTTGGGGTTTAAGTCATGAACAGGTAACATTTTACTAGTTTGAAAATCATGATGTCCTTTGGGGCTACACAGATGTATGAGCTGTTCCTGTCAATTCCTAATGTTCCTAGATTGGTATACATGTTTAGTTGTTTAATTTGCTTTTTTTTTAGTGTATCAATATGTAATTGACATACTACAAACTACATATATTTAAAGGGAACAATTCAATAAGTTTGACCCACCATATACTGTTGTGAAACCATCAGCATGATCATGAAAATGAAATCAATCACCCTGAACAGTTTCGTCATGCCCTCCTGCCTTTCTTTCTCAAACAACCACCCATCCCCAGACAACCAGTGATCCACTTTTCCCTACTATAGATGAGTTTGTAGTTCTTAAAAAAATATAGAAATTGAACCATGCAGCATGTATATGTTTTAGTCTGGCTTATTTAGCACAATTATTTCAAGATTCATCCACATTGTAGAGCATGTCTGCTATTTATGCATTTTAATTGCTGAGTATTCCATTGTATTAGCTTTGTGCAAAAATAATTGTGGTTTTTGATCATTTGTGTATGTCTTTTTGTGAACATAAGCTTTTATTTCTCTTGGGTAAATATGCAGAAATGGAATGAATATGATTGATATATTTGCGAGATATCATAAAACCATTTGATATTTTCTAAATATTTTTTCATATTCTACTTAATTTAGAGGCTGGCTACTAAAATTATTTGCTTTTACCATCATTGTATTTTGGCTTTAATATTTAAGTAGTGATTAGAATTTAAGTTGAACTGTAGGAATTTAAAATATTTGTAAATATCTCCTGCTATATTCAAGACAAATATGTGCAAAATTATCTTAATTTGTCAAAATTTTTATTTCAAATTACTTTGACTTAGAATCTACAAAATTTCCAATATATATTTTAAATACATTTTAAAATTTAAGGCATTTATTTTAGAATGATGAATTCAAAATCAACCTAGTTTAAATCTATAAACACATTTCATTTGAGAGAACTCAGTATGTGATCTTTAGGTGATGAAATTATAGATACCATTCTTACAATAGCTCTATGATTCTTTGTTTGCATAAAAGTAATTTCAAAAAGAAACTGACTCTAAGGGATATAAAGAAATACTAGTGAACTTTCCCCTAACAGTTCACAATCATTTTGAGGTATTGTTCTTAAATATATTAACAATAATTATTAGTTTGATCAAAAAATATCTCATAGTGGATCCACTGAGGATTCCTTAATATTCTTTACTTTTATGTAAAGCATTTGGCAAAATTTATTTGGATTATAATCAAGATTTAGAGTCTGAAGTTTTAAGCTGACAGAGACTCCAGAGTTCATTTAGTCTAGTCTCTTCATTTTACAAATGATTATGGTAAAGGGGCTCAAAATCAAATGATTAATTGGTAGCAGTTTGTTTTCACACATGGCACATGGTGTTTGGCATTGAAAACTTGTGTTCTGATCGCATATTCTCTTTGAACTCTGTTTTTCTCACATATAAAGTAGGTGATGGGGGGTATGTATGTTCATATCCCTTTTGGCTTTAAAATCTGTAAGACTCAAGAGAGTAAAGTACCTTATTATATTTTCTGGTCTTTGATGAATTTTCATATATGAGAATGATAATCCCTTTGTATAACTGTGAGATAACTTAATATTTTATAAATCCACCAGATATTTAATAGGTAGTTAAAATATGAAAGGCATTATGTTAGATACTAAGAACCATTTCACAGCATTCTGAAATCATATTGAATCAAATAACTTTTATAATATCATTAATATTATTTTTTTCAATTTAGCATCTGGACCTCTATCTGAATGAGCATTTACATAAAGCATGATATACAAACCTTAAAAATGTGGGGCTGCCCTTCTGAATCAACTGTGATATTTGTTCTTTCAGTTTCCCTGTTGCTCCTGTGGCTTTCCTTGAGTCATCTGCAGAGAATCTTTCCCTGGAATACATTGGATGCAGTTGTATCTTATGCATTGGTTTTATGACAAGGGGATCTGTGGTCAAAACAAGATAAGAAATTTCACCATGGAAAAGGAGGTGGGACAAGAGCTCTGTTCTCTTCATTGATTTCAAATCCTGTAAATATTTTATTAAATTATACCACTCTCAGGACAATCTTCGTATCTCACAGCTTTTGACAATGAGATAGATTTTTTAGCATGTATATTCTTTACATAATTCATTATATTTTGTAGGATTTTTAAGCCATGAAAGAAACTAAGTGAGTTAAAAATCTGTATGTAAAATAATTTTGCATAATATTCATTGGTGTGCAGAATCTCTGCTTTGGTGTTAAACCTACAACACCATTATAAAATAATACATCTTTTGAAACAGTCTCATCTAGCCTACTGAAGATAACTTTGCCTATAGAGTTGAAAAATTAATACATAAATGACCTTTAACACAAATAATGTTCAACTGATTCCACTTTCATGAACAATTCAGCTATTTATTCCACGGGACTTGTTCATGATTAAAGAAATTCAATTCTAATATCGGAACAGAAATCTTGTCACACAACTTCTACCCATTCTTTTCATGGGTTACACATATTCTCCCAAGTGATATCCTAATGGCACATGTAAAATATAGAAAACAGAGACTCTATAATTGTTATTGAGAGATGATTATTTAAATTTATGCCAAACATTTTAAATCTGAGAGTTACCAAGCCATTTATATTTTCATATGTTTCATCTGTATCTGAGATAACTCAAAACCAGTTATGAAAATATATGTCCTAAGGAACAGCCTCCAATAAGCATTTCTCTTCCACTCTGAGGTGATACAGAATGGTCCGAGAGAATGGTATTTTCCTTAAGAAAGAAATAGAAAAATGTTCTAACCATTAAGTGGTTTTTCATATTCTTTAATAACAAACAAAACAAAACAAATGATGCTCATTTTCGAAACAGAGTATAATACACATACAATAAGTCGAATAAAACTATAGCTACAGCTTAATGAATTATCCCAAAGTAGTCATTCATATAACCATCACCAAGATCAAGAAGAAAATACAGATTTTTGCCACCACTCCAAAGAATTCTTTCTATTGTCTCCTTCCCATCTCTATGCCCTGCTGTGAATAAAAGTAATCACTACCCTGGGTTAGCGCAGTGACACGGCTCATGCCTGTAATCCCAGCACTTTGGGAAGCTGAAGCAGGTGGATCACTTGAGGTCAGGAGTTTGAGACCACCCTGGGCAACATAGTGAAACCCCATCTCTACTAAAAATACAAAAATTTGCCGGGCATGGTGGCGGGCACCAGTAATCCTAGCTACTCAGGAGGCTGAGACAGGAGAATTACTTGAACCCAGGAGGCAGAGGTTACAGTGAGCCAAGATTGTGCAACTGCCCTCCAACCTAGGTGATGGAGCAAGACCCTGTCTCAAAAAAAATAAAGAAAAAAAAGTAACCACTAACCTGACTTTTATGGTAGCTACCTCATTGCTTTCTCTCTTCTCAAGGTTTTTAGTTTTACTATATACACATGTGTCTCTTCACACTACAATTTAATAATGTCTGTTTTATCTTTGTATAAATGGGACCATTCTGTGTATTATATTCTCTATTACTTCTTCCACTCAACATTATGTTTGTGGAACCAACCACATTTTTGGATGTAGCATATTTCATTCAGTCTTCAAATCTGTATATTATTATACTGCTGAATCAAGCATGATATATTTGACAGGGTACTAGGTTTGTTTCTCATTGTTAGCTGTTATGAGAGATGCATCATAAACATTCTTGTGTGTGTGCCCTTGGGGCACATGCCCATGTATTTCTTTTAGATATGACCCAGGAATAGAATTGATGATTATAAGCTAATGCAGATTTCATCATAGGTAGACAATGCCTAATCATTTTCCCAAGTTGATGCACATTAAGTATGCATGTTCTCATTTATGCACATTCTGGCTAAACACAACGCTTGTTTGTCTTATACTTAGACATCCTGTTGTGTATATAGTCATATATCATTCTGGAGTAAATTTGCAATTACATAATGCCTAATGAACATAAGCACCATTTTGTCTTTATTGGCCATTTTATTAGCCTCTTTTGCAAGGTATCCATTCTAATTTCAGTAAACTTCCTACGAGATTATTTTTCTGCATGTTATTGACTGGAAGCATCTCTTCATATTATGGACATGAGTATTTGTCAAGTATTTATAAGGCATATAAATAATTCCAGCAAAACTGTAACATGTTCTTAACATGTTCTTTTATTCCTTTAATAGTGTCTTACTAATTTTTAATTTCTCCAGATTTTCAATCTTTTCTTCTATGGTCAGTTCTTCTTGCATTCTATTTAATGTACCTTTCTACATCTCCTATGTTCTCTTCTAAAGTTCTGTTTTTATGCTTGCATGTCTAGATTTTTAACTCTAGAGTGAAAGTTCCTGTATGATGTGATACAGGAAATAATTTTGTTAATTTCTATTTGGGTGTCAATTTTCTATAGAATCACTGATTGAAAATACCACCCATTTTTGACTACTCTGCTTGGTGAATTTTGATTGTTTGTGAGTATGAGTTTTGGTGTCTTTATTCTTTCATTTTCAAATTTATATTTTATTCTTTATACCGTATCACAAACTCTCAATTAATATAGTATAGTTTTTTTAAAATCCTCATATTTTTTGTCTTAAATTCAAAAGTGTCTTGACCATTTTTGGCATGTTCTTCTTCTATATAAAGTTTAGATTGATCATGTCACTTTCCACAAAAACCTAATTGGAGTTTATTAAGATAACATTAAATAAATATGTAATTTGGAAATACTTAACTTTTTTTGAGACAGAATCTTGCCCTGTCACCCATGCTGAAGTATAGTGGAATGATCACCCAAGTACATTTTTTATAGAGACAGGGTCTCACATGTTGCTCAGGCTGGTCTTGAACTCATGGCCTCAAGTGATCCTCCCACCTCAGCCTCCCAAAGTGCTAGGATTACAGATGTGCACCACTGTGTCCAGCTAAATTGACATTTTATAATATTGAGTCTTCCAATCCACACACATGAAACATTCCTCTATTTTAATCTTTAATTTTTCTCAAAAAAGTTTTGTAATTATCTGCATAGATGTTTTGCCCATATTTGGTTACATTTATACATTGATATTTGACATTTCTGACTTAATTTTTAAATTTATTTCATTTTATTTTTACTCTGTTTTAACTGCTAATCTAGTAAATATGTAAAAATAGTGACCTTATATTCAGCGTAATTGCTACACTTATTAATTATAACTTATGTATTAATTTCTGAATTTTATGTTAATACAAAGATTTTTAATATTGCCTTCCTAATTCTTACAATTTGAATCAATGTCTAATAGCAGCGACTGAGACCTCTGGTTCAGTCTTGAGTAGCTGTAGTGTTAACGTTCTTTTTTGTCTTATTTTTTTTCTCAAAATGAGTTTTCAATATGTCCATCTCAATTATGCTGCTCGCAGAAAGCTTTTTACATTTAACTTTTATTAAGATTTATTAATAAAGTCCCACAGTTATCCTGGTTTGCAAAGAGTTTCTATTTTGATTGGATCTTGAATTTATCTTGGCCTCTATTGACTGGATCATATATTTTTATCACTTTTTCTGATGATGTAGTGGTTACTTCACCTGATTTTTTTTAAAAAATACTAAATCAAACATCTAAGGATTCCTCTAATAAAGTCTCTTTTGCTTAAATACACTAATATTTTTATAAATAAATAATTTATTTATTTTTAAATATTTTGTATTGGAGCTTTGCTTTTATTTTCATGAGGAGATTAGCCTGGGATTTTCCAGTTCATATGTCCTTTTCAGGCTTTGGTATTCCTGTTGTGTTGAATTCATAAATGAGTTGTGTGTGTGTGTATATATATATCTACCTACCTATTTATTTATCCATCCATCCATCTATCTATTTATATTTGGAGAGATGAGTGCAGTAGGCAGAATAATGGCTCCCTAATAGTGTCCATGCTCTAATCCTTGGAACCTCTGACTAATGTTACTTTGTAAGGAAAGGGTGACTTTGAAGATGTGATCAAGGTTGAGGACCATGAAATGAGAGAAGTCAGCCAAGATTATTCAGGTGAATTTAATATGACTACATAAATCCTCAAAAGTAAAGAACCTATACTAACCGCAAAGAGTAAGAAAGATGGGAGCACAGGTGGAAGGAGACACGTCTTTGCTGGTTTTAAAGATGGAAGAAAGTGACATCAGCCAGGCAATATGGGCAGGCTCTTACAGCTGAGAAGGGCAAGGAAGTATGTTCCTACCTAGGGCCTCAGGGAAGAAACTTAGCCCTGCTTGATTTTTAACTCATGAGGCATGCATCAGAATTCTGACCCACAGAACAGTAAGACAATACATTTATGCTGTTTAAAGACACTGAATTTGTGATAATTTTTATGGCAGCAATGGAAAACTAATACAATAGGCATTACTTTAAAAATATATATTAGCTAGGATTCACTAATGAGAATGGGTCTGAAATTTTCTTTGCAGAAAGTTCCATAATGATTTATTAAATTTACGTTATAGACACAGAATTCTTTAGATTTTCTGCTTCAATGGATGTGAATCTTGGAAATTTATATTTTTGTGATTCTTAGTGTATTTCATCCACATTTAAAAATTGATTGATACAAAGCTAATCGTAATGTATTCTTATGGTCTTCTACATTTCTATGGCATCTATTTATATCTTTACTTCATTGTTAATATTAAAGTCACTAAAGAAATTTCCAAAAATTTGTTTCACTTTTAATTTTTAAAATGATCCAAAACATATTTTAAAATTATTATTGTCAAGCTATAATTTATCTCAATGTTGGTAAGTATAACTTACCTACTTGCTATCTATCTGCTATAATACACATAATATGTTAATATAATAGCAAAGATTATGTGACTTCAACATTTTTAAACACAGTAACAAATTCTTAAAATATCTGATCTTCTCAATATAGACCAAAACACTATTTAATATTCACATATATTCATGGTAATGATCCTTAGCAAACAAGAACTAGAGGAAAAATGATTTGATCTGATGAGTGTACATAATTTGTAAAATGTTGAAAACATTCCTTTTAAGATTGAGAAGTAAACAAAGATATTCATGACCACCACTTTAATTCAATATTATACTGATGGTCCCAGCAAGAGAACTAACATAAGAAAATAAATAAATAAATAACATAGTAAGTGTAGTGAAATTAAAATGGGCATTATTCACAGATAATATAATTGTAAATATAAGACACTTCGAAATGACAAATAAATGTTGAGGAAATTTTGCAAGGTAGTTTGATACAGAAAAAAATCAATTTTAAAAAAACACTATATCAAATCAAATTAATTTTTAATAAAATTTAAGTGAAATTTGAAATATACCATTAAAACATTAACAAAAGGGGTTGGGGGAGAAAGGGACCAATAGGCAGAGCACAAAGGATTTTTTAGGGCAGTGGAACTAGTCTATATGACACTATGATGGGGTATACATGTAATGACATATTTGTCAAAACCCAGAGAATATACAATACCTAGAGTGAACCCTAATTTGAACCATGAACACTGGGTGATAATGATGTGTCAATGTACATTTATCAATTAAAACAAACGGGCCATTCTGCTGGGGGTATTTATAATGGAAGAGGCTATGCATGTGCTTAGGCAGCAAGGATATGGGAAATCTCTGTACCTCCATCTCAATTTTGCTGTAAAACTAGACCTGCTCTTAAAAATGAAAATATTAAAAATTAACATAAGTGCAAAATATCTACAAAGCAATTTAAAAAACATTATAATTTTTTTAAAAATCTAAATAAATAGAAAAATATATACTGTTTTCATGACTTTGAAGGCCTGGAATTGGTAAATAAGAATCAGACTAACATTGATATGTAATTTCAATATATTTCTATCATGTTTGGTCTATGTATATGTACAACAAATTTGAGTAGTGATGTAGAAAATATAATGAATAAAGAATCACTAAGCCATTCTTAAAGAAGACAACATGGGATATAGATATAAAGGCTTACCTAAAGCCATATAAAGATATTGCGGTTTTAATGCAAGGATAGAAAAATAGACAAATTTTTAAGGGGCTATTTACAGATGCATATATAAATGGATCATTGATTTATGAAGAAAAAGCACAGCAGATGTGAGGAAAGAATGGTTATTGCAGTAAATGGTGTTGCATGGCCATTTGGCAATCCATACAAGAACACTGTGAGAGAAAAAAATTCCTTTCGTTCATGCCATACACTAAGTCAATTTCAGATTAATTTTTCATTAAAGTGTGAAAGGTAATCATGAGCTTGAAAAGTTAATAAAAACAAAACTGAGGCCAGGCATGGTGGCTCATGCCTGTAATCCCAGCACTTTGGGAGGCTGAGGCGGGTGGATCACAAGGTCAGGAGATCAAGACCATCCTGGCTAACACGGTGAAAACCCGTCTCTACTAAAAATACAAAAAATTAGCCGGGTGTGGTGGCGGGCGCCTGTAGTCCCAGCTACTCGGGAGGCTGAGGCAGGAAAATGGTGTGAATCCGGGAAGTGGAGCTTGCAGTGAGCTGAGATCGCGCCACTGCACTCCAGGCTGGGCGACAGAGCGAGACTCCATCAATTAAAAAAAAAAAAAAAAGAAAGCAAAAGTGAGAGATGAAACATTATACTAGTATCAGACAAAGTAGACTTTAAGACAAAAAAGTGTCAATTCAGAAGTCATAAAATTATAAATATATATGCATGTAGCATTATATCCCCAAAATACATGAAGTAAAAACTGACAAATTTGATGGGAAAACTCATGCTGCTAAGGAAACATCTATAAAAACCCACATCTATCACTATACTTCAAGGTTAAAGACTAAAACATTTCCCCTAAGAAAGAACAAGATGAGAAAGAGGACAAGAGTGCCTGCTCTGACTACTTCTATTCAATATTGTACTGGAGGCTCTAGCAACTGGCAATTCAGCAAGAAAAAGAAATAAAGGGTACCCAGATTAGAAATGAAAAAGTTTACTTATCTCTATTTACAGATGACACAATTTTACATTCAGAAAGCCCTAAAGAATCCACATATAACAACTTAGAACTAAAAAACAAAGTTCAGCAAGGTTGCACAATACATGATTAAAAGGCAACTGTAAGCTATATTTCTCTATATTAGAATTCGCAATTATAAATTGAAGTTAATGAATTACTTTCATTTGCAATAGCATCAAAAAGAACTAAATACTTATGAATAACCTAACAAAATAATGCAAGACTTGTACTCCAAACATCTAAATGTTATAAAAAAAAAGATAACTGAAAGAAATTATAGGAGCCCATGATGGAATGGACTCCTATAATGGAGGGATGGATGGATGGAAAAAACATCCCATATTCATGAATTGAAAGATTTAATATTGTTAAGATGGTAATATTCCACAAATTGGTCTACAGATCATTTTCAATGTCACACTCACCAAAAATCTTAGCTACCCATTTTCTCACAAATTGACCAGCTGATCTAAAAACTTATATGAAGATTCAAGGAATCTAGAATAATCAAAAGAAACTCGATGTATAAGAATAGTCAGAAATTTCACACTTTATGATTTCAAAAGTTATAACAAAGAAGCAGTAATCAAGACAGTGTGGTACTGGCATAAGAATCAATATAAGAATCAATAAAATAGAATTGAGATTCCAGAAATAAACTCTTATATTTATTGCTAATTAATTTTTGACAAGTGTGCCAAAATAATCCAATAGGAAAATAAAAACCTTCTCAATAAATGATTATTAGACAATTGAATATTTATATGCAAAAGAATAAAGTTGGGCCCTTACCCACACCATATAGAACAATTAATTCAAAATGGATTAAAGACAATGTGAGAGCTAAAAATATAAAGTTTATAGAAGGAAATATAGGTCTAAGTCTTCATGACCTTGAATTAGGCAATTGTTTCTTTGACATGCAACAAAATAAAAAATAAATAAATTGTACTTCACAGATATTAAAAACTTCCATGTTTCAAAGACCACCATCAAGAAAAAGAAAAGAAAACCTACAGAAGAAAATATTTGTAAGTTACATATCTGAAAAAGTTTATATCCATAATATATAAAGAACTCTTATAGCTCAACAATAAAAGACAACCCAATAAAAATTGGCAAAGGATTTCAATTGATATTTCTCTATAGAAGATATGTAAATGGCAAATAAATACAAAAACAAATGTTACACATGATTAACACTAGGAACATGTAAATCCAAATCACAATGAGATACCACTTCACACCCATTAGAATGGCTCTAGTGAAAAATACAGACAACAACAAGTGTTGACAGATATATGGAGAAAATGGAACTCATATATTACTATGGGAATGAAAAATTGTGTGGCCCCTTGGGTAAATGGTTTTGCGGTTTCTCAAAAAGTTAAAACATAGCAGTACCACACGACACAGTATTTCACCTTCTATATATATCCCTGAGAGAAGTGATAATATTGGCCACACAAATGTTCTTAGCAGCATCATTCATAAATCCAAAGGTGAAAACAATCCAGATGCTCATCAATGGATAAATGGATAAATTAATAAACACAATTTGGCATATCCATAAAACTGAATATAATTCAACCACCAACAGAAATGAAGTAGTGATACATACTACAACATGGATGAAACTTGGAAACATTATGCTAAATGAAAGAATCAAAGCACAGAAATCCACATCTTGAATCCTTCCATTAATATTAGTTTCCCAGAATAGGCAAATCTATAGAGACAGAAAGTAGATAAGTGGTTTCCAGGGGTTGGGGTGGGGGTGGGAAGGAGGAAAGAAAGGAGAGTAACTGCTAATATGTATGAAATTTCTTTCTGAGGTGATGAAACATTCTAAAATAAGATAGTGGTAATGTTTTTAAAATCTTGTAAATATACTAAAACCAACTAAGTTTTACACTTTAAAAAATAAATTTTATGCTAAGTTAATTATATTTCAATTTTAAAATAAAAGTCTTTGGGATTTCACAGAGGGAAAGTTTTTGTTTGTTTATTAATAATGCATACAAAGCACTATTCAGACAGGTAAAGAACAGTGAAATGGACTAAATAAAGGTAAGAACGCCTGTTCATCAAACACTAAGTACACGTTCAGTGTGGTTAGCCTATTTATTTGAATTACAAATTAACTTAATATGTTCCAATTTTCTTTTATTTTAATATTCGGTTAAGCTATAAACTCATTGAGGTTGTTTATTTAATTTTGCTTTAGTTTTGCTTCCTCAAGTCTCTGTAAGAAATAATAATTGAAAGCTAAAATTTGTGAAATAATAATCATTTCATTAACAGTAGCTTATGTTTTTGAGCAATTCTTCTTTCCAAAGCTTTCTGAGCTTCTATGTCCATTTTAGACATGAGAGAAATGAAATCTAAAACTTAAAGTAGCTTTCCACATTCACAGAGTCTGTTAAGTGGCAGTCAAGATTTAAATCTCAGTTGTCTCATACTTCAGTCTGTTCTTTTAACTACTCTGCTAAAATTTGATGAGTTAGAATTGATTAGGATTCTGTACTCCTTATGGTAGAAAAATAAAATGAAAAAAGCTAAAATAGGAAAATTGATTTGTACCCTGATGGGATTTAATTTGACATGCTCTAAGCATTTGCATGATGGTAGACTTGACTGTTTATGTATATACATGTGTGAATGTGAATGGCTATAAATATAGAAGTAGAAGGCCTCTTTCTCCCTTTTGGTTTTGGTCATGTGGCTTTGCTCTAAAACCAGGTAAAACATTGGCAATATGCAGTATAGCTTAGTATTAGCAACTAGAAATCACTTGGTAAAAATGAGTGGATCAATGACAATATTCACACACTAAATATCTGTTTACAATTCACATGCAGTGTGTACTGACCACACATTGATTTTTCCTAATACATTTTGAACAAATATAAGTGAATTCCTATTTGAATATATACATATAAAATAAAATATGAAGGCCCTTGATAGCATACGAGGTGCAAATTTTTTTAAGTGGAGTATTTTATGTTTGAATATAGAACTAAAGTAGAAGTTTCAGGGTTAGTTTTTTAAAAAAGTAAAATTTTAACTGAAAGTCAGCCATTTTCTTTAAAAACATTTCAGTTTTTAAGAGATTCAATTGTTTTTGAATTAGCTGATGAAAAATGCCATGCAAATCGAAGTATCATTAGCACTGCAATTTTTGTTTACTCTCATTATTCTGCTTTAACTCTCATATTATATAATCCTGAATATGTTACTTAAATATAGGTGACCTTGTGGAAAATTCAGTATCAGGTTTTATATCAAGGGTTCAATGTTGTGGGTATTGCTTTTAGTAGAGAAATCAACTCCTGTGGAAAAATTTAAAAAAAAAAAAAAAAAGGATGAGTATTCTCAGTCATTCTTTGCCTTTCTCAAACTTCTTTCCCTAAGGCAAAGTGTGAACCACACTTTCAGCTCTAAGAGCTATTACTAATTCATAGTACTTCCATTTACTCTTTTAACCAAGGATTGATAGTAATGCTGCTAATGAAATGTCCTGACCAGCTGTGGCTCAATTACTTGACATCGCTTCTATTTACCTAGCCAGCTTCCGAAAGAACACCAAGAAATAGTCATCATTCCAGCAGTTACCCTTAGGACTCTATACTATATTTCTAAGTTAGGATGGCCAATGTGTCAGCATAGAGACCTGGTGATTTCATTTAATAAAGGAAATCAGCTTTAAATATGGGTGGACATTTTTTTCTGTTTGCACCAAGCTCTTAATGTTTCACAAGTGCTGTAGTGTGCTAGATACTTAATTATTCCAAATTTCAAGTTATTATCTATGAAGTATATAAGTCTGATTTATTATCTGCTTCCTACATTTTTATGAGGCTTGTTAGCAGAACTCCATTATATCTGACTGACTCCCTGATGTCAAGAAGCCATTCTTGTGAAAATATTTAACATAAAAATGAGCCAACAAATCATGGAAATGGCTCTGCTAAACAGGAAAAACAGGGTGAGATGTAAAATATTGTTTAGGACATAATTGCAAATATTATGTCAATTTTAAAGCAACTATGTAAACACCCTATAAAGGAGCTACTTATGATGAAAGCAATATTCTCCAGCTCCTTGGTATCTCATTTCCAGCTAATTTTTCCTTTCTTGGCTCCCACCAGCGTTTCGATGATGAGTTCATTGGATTAAGGACATTACATGGCCAGTTTAAGACCATGTGGTAATTCCAAAGAAAGATATGATATGACTCTGCCTAAAGTCCCCTTAAGCAAAAGAATTAAAGTCATGAAGAACGTCCCATCAACCACTTTTGATATAAGTTTCAACCATGGCTAGGTAAATGAGCATTCCTAGGATAAAAAGCCTTCAGAGTAGACTTCTTTATCATTTTTATTTTTCCTTTCATATTTCCTGAGATAATCCACCATTGTATTGCATAAGGTAGTGATAATAGTAATAATGATAGTACAATAAGAATAAGAGTAATGCTGACGTATTTTTTAAGATTCCAAAAGAATGGAGGAAATACATTCTGAATTAGCATAATATTCTTGCAGTTTTCTGAAAATGTATACATTAGAAAAGCAGTTTGGTGTCTCCTATGACTGTTTAACACAAACTTATCTATCCCTTTGTTTTTAATTAGCACGACTCATATTAGAGTCTTGGATAAGGGCCTAGATAATTTGTTCATAGTAGCTTTTAGGTTGCCATATGGGTAAAACTGAATAAGGGTGAAAATTCACAAGTGGATAATACAGGCAAACAGCTGCTCTCTTTCTCCACAACAGAATGGGGGCTATTTAAGGAGGGAATATTTTATGGTTAAAAAAAAAATCCTAGGGAAGGAAAAAAAATAAATTTTCTTGGACATTTAAATTTTAAATCTTCTTCAAAAAATATTTCTAGCTTAGTTTCAATGCACAAGTACTGCAAAATTCCCTTATTGAGAAAACCAAGTATGACCTTTTCAGAGCATCTACCTCTTTTTGTCTTCTCATAACACAATGCAAGAGCTTTAACTTTAATCCAATATTTGAGATACAATGAATGAGGGAACTAAAAGAGAAAACAGGGCACTGTATTTTAGGGTATGACTCACTTCTCAAATTTTCAAATATAGGTGTGAGTGTTTTTAAAAAAATTACCTCCTAGTTGAATGCAAATCTCAGAGAATGTACTATCACTCACCAACCACCGAGCTACAGATAGCAGGGCCACATGCAATCTCTTTTGAACTATTTTAAACTTAAAAGAAAGAATAAACCCTGTAGAATTATACCAGTGTTGACCTAGTTTTACATGCAGGCTATTCTATTTTGAAAATAGAAACTTTGATGTAAGAATGATAGTGTCATTCATACTATATACCTTCTGTGAGAGACCTTGGAGCAGAGGTTATGTGAAAGTTATGACCCAGTCATGGGCAAAACTAAAATGAAATGCATGTTAACTGTTAAAGCTAGGATTTAGCTGAACTTTCACTTGTGGGAAAAGCTTTTCAAATTGTCTGATGACAGGAATAGGGAACACAACCCCCTCTTCTTTTAATAGATACAGCATGGATGAAGCTAGGTTGCGTGTTCTCGAAGTGTTAGTAGATTCGTCAAGGGATGAACTTCTGACTTTGTGTCATTTAAGACAAAAAAATTATTTAAATAGATTTCTGTTCAATAAATATATTTCTTTGTTCATAAAATGTACATCATACATATTTTACTCACATTTAATTTTATCTTAGGGAAATATATATGTACCAATAATTTCCCCCAGATTACCAAACATTTTAATGCATGTAATAATGAACAACTAATAAAAAAAAGTCAATAGAAAATCAATGGTTAGTTATAAGGGATATAGTTTTAGACTGTAAAACATCAGATTGTTTTCAATGTGTAAAGCCAAGAGCTTAAATCTAGAATACATGTAGACAGATCACTTCCCAATTATTTGGGAGGGAGAAGGGTGGTGTGCTGAGAAATGCAAGGATAGACTGGATCTGTTAGTCTACGTTCCTTTAAGACACATTTTAACTTCACGAAATTAAAATGTGTGGTTATCTCTACATAAATTTCTCATCTTAGTGAGTTATGTTAATCAATGTTTTGAGAAAGCACTAATTACATAAAATAAACAACTATACTTTTTGTATCATTTGAAATTTAGTTACTACCCTGTTCACTGGGTACTTATTTTACATGACATTGTAGAATAGCATTGTGTACCCTACGGTTTTTCCTTCTAACATTTCTTTCCATCTCTTTCTTCCTTTGCAATAGGTTTCCAGATGCCATATGCTTAACTGATTGATCTTAATGTAGCCTGGTGATCACATTCTCTCTGGAGGTGATTGATTTACCATGGAATGTGGCCCTATCTGGCAATAAGTCATGAATGCTAAGAATGTGGCTGGTGCTGGAAAAGGTATCCTCACCAATTAAAAGAAAGAAGATAAGGCCTGTCTTTTTTTCTGCTCAGTATTAATATATCTGCATTTCCACCTAGAATTTTGGCAGCTATCTTTCAAACAGGAGGAAGTTAGCAAAAGGCAGTCAACAACACCGATCATGGACAATGTAAAATGAAAGAGATGTGGCTTCCTGTGATGGCACTGAACAATTGAATTAACCAGCCCTGTAGGCACTCTGCCTCAGCTCCTTTTAAGTATAAAAATAAGTCCTTCCACTATTGAAACAGTTTACATCTAGAATTTCTATTATTTCAAATTAAGGCATCATAAGTTATTAACAGTGATTTTAGCAGCCTAGCCATAAACACATTACAATGATTACTTCTGGATGATATCCAGATGGCAAATACACATATAAAAAGATACTCCATACCATATGTCATTAGGAAAATGCAAGTTTAAATAAGGAGACCCCAGTACACGCCCAACAGAATGGTCAAAATCCAGAACACTGACAACACCAACTGCTGGTGTGGATATGGAGCAACAGAAAATCTCATTCATTGCTGGTGGAAAGGCTAAATGATATTGCCACTTTGGAAGACAGGTCAGTGCTTTCCTATAAAACTAAACATATTTTGTCATACAGTTCAGCAACCATGCTCCTTGTAATTTACCCAAAAAGAGTTGAAAACTTTCATCTACACAAAAACCTGAAGACAGATATTTACAGCATCTTTCTTCATAATTGCCAAAACTTGGGAGCAACCCAGATGTTCTTTGGTTGGTGAATGGATAAATAAACTGTGGTCCACCCAGACAATGGATGGATCTCTCCCTTCAGCTGATAACGTTAATCCAATATTTGAGACATAATGAGTAAGAAAATAAAATGAGAAAATGGTGCACTATATATTTTAGGGTATAAGTTACACATCTTAAAATTTCAAACATAGATAGGAGAGCTTTAAAATTACTTCTAGATAGGAATGTAAATCTCAGAGAGTATACCAAAGAAATGGGCTATCAAGCCATCAGAAGACATGGAGAAAACTTAACAGAGCAATATGTATTCAATGGGTAAGATAATGTAACATGTATTCAATGGGTAAGATACTAAGCGAAAAAAAAGCCAGTTTGAAAAGACTGCACACTGTATGATTCCAACTGTATGATTTCATACTGTATGATTCCAACACTCTGGAAAGGCAAAACTATGGAGAGAGTAAAAAGATCAGTGGTTTCCAGGGGGTAGGGAAAGGACAGGATGAACAGTTGGAACAAAGGATGTTTAGGATCGTAAAACTAGTCTGTAAGACACTATAATGGTAGATACATATCATGATACATTTGGTCAAATTCATGGCATCTACACCAGCAATACTGAGTCCTAATGTAAACTATAGACTCTAGGTGAAAATGATGTGCCAATGCAGGTTTATCAGTTGTGCAAATGCGACACTCTGGTGAAGGATGTTGACAGTGGGACAGGCTGTGCATACATAGGGAAAGAAGCATAAGGGAAATCTCTGTAGCTTCTGCCCCATTTTTCTGTGAACTTCTCTAGAAATAAAGTTTATTAAAAGACGAATACAAACAGTCCTCCATTTTTATGGTTTATACATCTGTCAATTCAACGAACCATGATCGAAAATATTCCAGAAACAAAGAATTAACAGGTACGGACTTTTTTTTCTTGTCATTATTCCCTAAAAATACAGTATTACTATTTACATAGCATTTACCTTGTACTATAAGTAATCTAGAGATGATTTCCAATATATGCAAGGATGTGCATAGGATCTATGCAATACTACAATATTTTATATAAGAGATTTGAGTGTCTGTGGATTTTGGTATCTGTAGTCCTGGAACAAATCCCCTATGGACACCAAGGGATGGCTGTACTGTATAATTTCACTTATATGAGGTATTTATAGTAGTAACATTCATAGAGACAGAAAATAGTGCAAAAGTCACCAGGGGGTGAGGGGAGGGGAGAATTAGGAGTTTATTGTTAAATGGGAAAAGAGTTTCAGTTTTTCAAGATAAAACGAGATAGGGAAATGGTTGCACAATAATGTGAATATACTTAGCATTACTGAACTGTGCACCTAAAATGGTTAAGATAAATTTGATGTTATGTGTATTTTACTACAATTAGAAATTATATATATATATAATTGTATTTATTTACATATATTGTAATTATATATAATTGTGTATATATGTAATTTGAAACATTACTTCTGTTCAGTTTTCTTCTGCATTTTAGGGGTAAGTACTCTCAAGCATACTACTTGTAAAAGCTGTGATTTTTGAATGGTTATGCTGGTAAAATTCCAATTTTTCTTTTATGTTAATTTTTATCCATGCACCTGCAGGCAGGCATAACATGGCCCTATAAGTAAAATAGGCCAGTTCTTAAGTCAAGAGTTTCTTAGAAAATGACTAATATTGTAGATTTCAGATGACGTATTTCTGCATGTTGGAGAGAGATTCCCATGATACAGCATTGTAAAATTACTGACCCAAAAATAATAAAAATGCCTTATTTTATATAAGGTGTCACAACAGCATGGTACTTTCTAAAAGGCAGAATCATACCATATGAATCTTCCATGTCTCCAATGGGTGTTTAGGCAGTACACTACAATAAGATGATTGAGGAGCAACTACATATACTGTTTTGCAGAACCTAGGGAGGCCTAGAAATACCAGCAGACTGAGATTTGAGAAGGTTTCAAATTGCCTGTGGGTAACAAAAGGTGCCTCAAAAGAGGAGGAGAGAAATTTAGTCTTTCAGGGAACAAAGTGAAAACATTTGCTATCATAAAAAGAAGTTAATAGGATTAGATTTAATATTTCTTTAAATGTAAATTTCACTCAAATGGTTACTTTATCACCTAAGTGTATTTTAATATGTTAAGCCAATTACTTTTTCTGGGCATTCAAGAGACGGTTAAATGCCTTTAATCACAATATGTTGGAGACAATTAAATGATGGTATATTCCAGATAACTCAGCATGTGCTTGCACTCAGAATACGTAATTTAGAATATAAAACCAAAACAAACAAAAAAAGCCTGTTTTACTCATGGGAATTTGAATATATACCCTATATTTATAACCTTGTAGTATATATTTGGTTCCAGTTTGAGCTTGCAGGTTTAATGATGCCTTGTAAAAAATAAATAAATAAATAAAGAGAGAAAAGAAAAAAAAAAAAAAGGAATACATCCAAATAGGCTGAGTACAATGGTTTAGGAGAGATAATTGAAATATAATGCATTCTTACACCTATTTCAGCTTGCGCATTAGTTCTTGGTCTATATCTATCATTTCTCAATTTCTCTCTCTCTCTCTCTCTCTTTCGCTTTCTCTATCTGTCTCTCTTGGTTTCTCTCTTCTTTCCTTAAATTCCACCAAAAGAAGCAGTTATATTATAACGTTATTTTTCTCACGATGACATGGAAATTATTTTTCTGTGCTTATTTTGATAACAAGTCAAGATTTTTTATTCACAGATGTCAAAATATATAAAATACACATTGCACCATCTGGACAAGGCTGCACACTTGTAATACACTATTTTGGGAAATAGTATGTCAGTCCTCTACGTTCTAAAGTTTCCTCTGTTTAAAATAAACCCTTGCCTTTGAATTAAGTTATGATGAAAATCTAAAACACCTAGACATTCTCAAGGCCTAGGCCTAGGTAATTTAGCTAGCATGCCTAAGTCAAATCACTTCTACCTAGCATGTAAGATGTTATCATCTTACTTTAGGGTTTTGGCTTAAAAGGTTTTATTTCTACATCAAGCTCAATTGATTCTCTGTCCTAAATTTTTCTAAGGCAGATTGCATAGATTGCAATGATGTCAGTCAAAGCTGATTGGGGTTTTTCTCCTTTAAAAATACCTGGACAGGTTTTAATAGAATTTTTATGTAATGTACATCCTAACTAAACCTCTTGTAAAGCATCAAAAACAACTTGGAAATTGTAAGCTCTTTTATATGTCTGTTGAGCATCTATTATGTATCACTGCAAAGTTCCATGAATGAGAAATACTAAAATATGGGATATAATCTCTGATCTCAGGCTGGGGCATCAAACACACAGGTAAACAACTGATAAAATACAATATGGCCAGTCAGTAGAGCATGGGAGTTAAAAGTAATGTTTTGACCTTGGCAGTCTTGGATTTGAGTTGAAGTTCTGATACTTATCTAGTCACCTAACCTGAGTTTATTTACTTTTTTTTAAAAAAAGCGACAAATATTTGTTGTAATTAAGAAGATGATAGGTATAAAATACTTAACACAGTATCAGCCACAGTATAGAACTCTATGCCCACCTCGTTATTAATACTATAAGCAGTATTATGATAAAGGCATGCGCAAAAGGCTATGGGGGAAGAGAATAGGATGTTAATGTTTCCCAATTTGGAAATATTAAATTACTAGAACTTTGGATGCGAGCAGGGAAGACTCTTCAGAGGAGGTAAGAGTAAAACTTTTCAGGAAAGACTCTTCAGGGGAGGTAACAGTAAGACTTTTCAACACCCCTGTTGCTTTGCGACTTGAGCAGCTCTAGACATTGCTAATTGTTCTCATTTCTAAGTTACTGTTATATAACAAAATGTATATAACAATTATTATATAACAAAATGTATACAACAGTTTTTGTTATGTACAAAAAAAACCTCACAAGCCTAGAAGTAACCATTAATTGTCTTTACTGAGTTATGAATGAAAGTTTAACCCTTACTGGGTCTTGGAGTCGTTTTACTCCCAGAGGTTATTTCCATGCTATTTTATAAATATATATTTCCTAGTAACTAAATATGATTTTATACTTAGTTTAGAAAACTGTATTTAGAAGTGTACAAACTGGAAATAATTCTCTGGAATGTGATAGCCTTCAGCATCCCTTTCTCAGGCAAAGGCCTTTAAATACATTTCAAAGAACACAAAACTTACGTGGATTGGATAGATTTATGATTATGTGTAATCCTCCTCAGTGGAATTTCTGTGGCATTAACTTCTTTGATGTAACTATCATTTCCATCTCTATCTTTCTCTAAATATGACTGAATGTTTTAATGCAAGTTTAAAAGCTACATTTTTAGGATAGACTTCAAATGAGAGGTACAAAAAATTATATTAAAACAGATTATTTTTAGCAGAATAGAGATGTGATAAAAAGAATAATTGTCTTGAAAAGGGAAGTCTTTAAAAGCACACTTATTAGTTTCCTACTGTTCCTGTAACACATTACTGCAAATTTAGTGGTTTAAAACAAAAATAATGTATTTTCTCACATATCTGAAGGTCATAAGTCTAAAACCCGGATGTTGGTAGGTCTGCATTACTTCCGGGGGTCCTTGATTCTCAAGCTTCTAGAGGCTGACTGCATTTCTTTTTTTTTTTTTTGAGACGGAGTCTCGCTCTGTCGCCCAGGCTGGAGTGCAGTGGCGGGATCTCGGCTCACTGCAAGCTCCGCCTCCCGGGTTCACGCCATTCTCCTGCCTCAGCCTCCCAAGTAGCTGGGACTACAGGCGCCCGCCACTACGCCCGGCTAATTTTTTGTATTTTTAGTAGAGACGGGGTTTCACCGTTTTAGCCGGGATGGCCTCGATCTCCTGACCTCGTGATCTGCCCGCCTCGGCCTCCCAAAGTGCTGGGATTACAGGCGTGAGCCACCGCGCCCGGCCGACTGCATTTCTTAGGAGTCCTCGTCCTCCATCTTTAAAGCGAGCAGCAGCATCTTCTCTTTTCTCCTACCTCTGCTTAAGTCCTTACATCTCTCTCTCTTTGACGTTGACCTTCCTGCCACACTCTTATGAAGACCCTTGTGATTACAGCAGGCCCACTCAGATAATATAAGATTATCTTCCCATTTCAAGAACCTTAGTCACATTTGCAAAGTATAAGTTACAATATTCACATGTTCAGGGATTAGGATTTGGACATCTTTAGGGGACCATCATTCACCCAACCCCAAGGGGTTTGGAATTTGATGAATCAAGCCAACTGGCATGCTGCCTCCCTGAGGACCCTGGCAGGAAAGAGATGACCACTCACAAAGGGTTACTGAGGAAAACTCCAAAAAGGACTGTTTATAAAGTTGTAAGCAATGCATAGAGTAGGAATGTAGTAAGTCTAAAATTAGCAACAGCTAACCTTAAAGTACCAAGGCAGGTACCTGGTTTTAATATCTGGAGTCAATAGCTCTAGAAAGGGGTCCCCCTCAGGAAGTTGTAGTCATTACTAAAGAAACAGTTTCATAATCCAATTTTTTTTGAGTGTCTAATGCAAAGCATATGTATATAAGGGTGCTTGCACCAATACACATTGAAAAATATTTATTTTGTAAGTCAAGTATGAGTGCTCTATCTACACTATATTTCCTATACATATTTGCATATTTTATATATATAGAGAGAGAGTACATAGGCCTGCAGCAATTATTTACTTATTTATTGTCTAATTGATAATACCTTGTACATTGCTAACTGCAGCACCCTAGGGACTTAATATATTGCATTTTTATATTAGTGACTAAGAACAAGAACATTCAATACTAAGCTAGATCCAACAACAACAAAAAAAAGGTTAAAGATATTTGCATTTTCCAAATGGGGATATATAAAAGAGCCCATGAATATACTGCAGAGTTCAAAATAATTTCATAATATTTATCAGCTAAAATATATCTTGAACCAAGCCATTCTTCCCAGGGCAATCGTGAGAAAATTATTTTTTATTCATTTGAGAAAGTATTCTCAATAGGGCAAATGAAGAATGACATCTACCATTGACATCAAATGCTAAAGAAATGATCAGTAGAGAATTCTATAAAGACAGATCAGTTTCTCCTTTGAGTATATCCAACTGATTAAGCTTATAAATTCAAGTGAATATTACTTTTGTTTCTGGAATATATCTGAATTCCAAATTAAAAACTACATCTCAAAGGTAGTAGATATATATTAAATAACCTACTTTCCATCCAAAGACAGGATGGTACTCAACAAAATTTCATGTGTAATGGTACTCCAATTTTGTTCGATTCTTTTAAAGTATTCTTGGATCATTTTGTCACTGAAGATGTTTGCCAACAATAGAATATAGCAAAATCAGGAGACACTCAAAAGACAGTTATTAATCACTTAATACCAACAATAATGAGTTATAACACTTTTTGAATATTTGCATTTTACTACTGATGAGACATTTTACTGATGGTTTTTATGTAGGAAAGTAGTACACAGGAAGAACACAAGAATGAAAAGCCTATGTGTTTAGCTACAAAATGTGAATTGAGTGTCACAGTTCATTATCACATTGTCCTATTTGAATACAAAATGAAATTATCGCTCATATTTTCCCTCTTTACTAAAATTTCTAAACAAATTAAAAGTAGTTGTAATAAAATGGTATCATTTGATCATCCAAATATTTTTGTTAAAACAAATAATTAGAGAAGATAATTTAAAAATTATAAACTAAATAGAAACTATAAGACATCTATGTTATTTTTCTATATTCCATGCTGTCAATATTCATGTACTTTATATTTTCGTAATTGGAAACAATCTGATTTTAGCAGCAATACTTTATTCTCAAAGTGAAGTTTTATGTACACATATTTTTTATTAAGTAGCCTTAAATGCTAGCTAACAACTGTTCATAATTCTTATGGTACAAGGGAAGAATGGTAGAAAAACCACTCGTCCTTCTTTGTCAGTCATCTCTCCTTTGGTAGCTATATGTTTGGCCTTTGATATATAACTACAAAGTTTCTAACCTGTAAAGTTGAAAGAAAAATATTTTTCAAACTTATTATGAGGCTTATAAAAAAAGCAGATGCTGGGTGCAGTGGCTCACACCTGTAATCCCTACACTTTGGGAGGCTGAGGCAGGCGGATCACCTGAGGTAAGGAGTTTGAGACCAGCCTGGCCAACATGGAGAAACCTCGTCTCTACTAAAAATACAAAAATTAGCTGGGCTTGGTGGCATGTGCCTGTAATCCCTGCTACTTGAGGGGCTGAGGCAGGAGAATTGCTTGAACCCAGGAGGCAGAGGTTACAGTGAGCCGAGATCATGCCACTGCACTCCAGCCTGGGCGACAGAGTGAGACTCTGTCTCTAAACAAATAAATAATAAATAAAGCAGATAAAATGGCATGAGATTATCAAACATTACATGAATATTATTAAGACAGCGGTTTTGATACTATGATCAGAATGTCCCTAGATTTTCCATTAACAACTGAAGAACTACCTAAGGTTAAAGTGGGTGAGAAAGGGCAGATTTACTTGAACAGGTCAGCCATTATTTGTTTTGTATATTGGGCTGTTTTATAAAAAAGTGTTCAAAAACCCATTGATTTAAAATAATATCATTTTCTATTAGCAGGGCCTGGAATATGTTGATGAATTAATGCTATGAACTTGCAGTTTCTACAGTGATAACTTTTGTGATACATGTCTACGTTTCTATCGTGTAAAAGTCTAAACGTAGAATAGGGTCTTTTGCACATGGATGGTTCTACCCTGCTAATAATTCCAAGATGTCGGCTGTGGTTCATGTCATTCCCCACCATCAGAAGAGAAAAAGAAAAATCCAGGGCAAACACCTTTAAGAAGATGACTCTGGAATTGCACACATTATATTCACACATATTCCATTGGTCCAAACTTAGTCATATGACAGCACCTGGCTAAAAAGGGAGTCTGAGAAGTGTGGTTTGCACTAGTGGTGGCTATGTGCCTAGTTAAAACTCAAGGTTTCTTTTCTTAGAGAAAAACACAAGGCATTCATCTTCTTCAGGACACAAATTGGACTTACAAAGTTCTTTTTTTTTTCCCTGAGGAATCATGGCTCCTCTGTTGTATGCAAGAGGGTTGGGAAAAAGCATGGGGGTCATTAGAATAACTGCAGCTTGTGAGGGAATTCTACACCAAAGTTGATACAATTAAAGGTTGGGTATTAGAAAAAAAAAGAAATACGTATTTTTCCAATTGATAAGTAAAACAGTCTTGTTTTCATATGAACTGGAAATAAATCTGTGACTTGAATTTTGTCAAAATTGAAATATAAAATAGTTTAAGTATAATATTTTCTTTTCTGCAAAAAATAAAAATGAAACCAATATTACATTATTAATTAATATTACAAATTACAATGAAAAATGATAAATACTCATAATCTCATATTGTAGTTTGGTTTCAATTTACATAGCTGCAGGTAAGTATGCCATGGCAGTGCCTCAGGTAAAGATCGTAAAGCTTTTGAAAAACAATGTTAGTATGAGACATGGCACAGGAATACCTCATTTTATTGTGCTTTGCTTAGTTGAGCTTTACAGATATGGCATTTTTTACAAATAGAAGGTTTTTGATAACCATGCCTCAAGAAAGTCTGTCAGCACCATGCATTTAACAGTATTACTATTTTGTGTATCTGTGTCAAATATTCCAAACTTTTTCATTATTATTATATCTATTAAGGTAATTTTTGACAAGTGATCTTTGATGTAATTAGTGGAATTGTTTTGGGGCTTCATGAATGTGCCATATGAGACTGTGAACTTAATCCATGAATGTTGTGTGGGTTCTCACTGCTCCAATGACTGGATGCCCTCCATCTCTCTCCCTCTCCTGGGAACACCCTATTCTCTGAAACACAACCAGTTCATGACCCTGCAATGGTCTGTAAGTGTTCAAGTGAAAGGAAGAGTCGCACATTACTGACTTTAAATCCAAAGCCAGAAATGATTAAGCTCAATGAGGATGACATCTTGAAAGCTGAGACACACTGAAGGCTAGGCCTCTTGCTCCAGTTAGCCCCAAACAGTTACTGAAAAGAGGTCAGGAGGTCAAGATCACCCTGGCCAACATGGTGAAAGCCCATCTCTACTAAAAATACAAAAATTACCAGGGCGTGGTGGCGTGTACCTGTAATCCCAGCTACTCCAGAGGCTGAGGCACAAGAATTGCTTGAACCGGGAGGCAGAGGTTGTAGTAAGCTGAGACTGCCACTGCACTTCAGCCTGGGTGACAGAATGAGACCCCGCCTCAAAAAAAAAAAAAAGAAAAGTTCTTGGAGGAAATTAAATGTGCTACTCCAGTGAACATATGAATGGTTAAAAAACAAAAAGTAAAACAATCTTATTGTAGTTATAGAGAAAGTTTGAGTGGTCTAGATAGACAACCAAGCCAGCTGCAACAGTCCTTTAAGCCAAAGCTGAATTCATAGCAAAGCCTTCACTCAATTCTCTGAAGGCTGAGAGAGCTAAGGTAGCTGACAAAGAAAAGTGTGAAATGAGCAGTGCTTGGTTCGTGAGGTTGAGGGAAAGAAGCCATCTCTACAACATAAAAGTAGAAGTGAAGCAGCAAGCCCCGATGGAGAGGCTGCAGCAAATTATCCAGATGATCTAGCTAAGATAATTATTGTGGGTGGCTACAACCATACAACAGATTTTCAATGGAGACATAACAGCATTCTATTGGAAGAAGACGCCATCTAGGACTTTCACAGCTAGCAAGAAATTGATGCCTGTCTTCAAACTTTAATGGCTGACTCTCTCAATAAAGGGTCATACATTTGGCGACTTTAAAATGAAACCAATGCTCTTTTGTGATTCTGAAAATCCTAGGGCCCTTAAGAATTATGCTAAATATACTTTTCCTGTGCTCTATAAACAGAAAAACAAAGCATAAATTAAAACACATGTTTATAATATGGTTTACAAACCATTTTTAAGGCCACTGCTAAAATCTACTGCTCAGAAAAAAAAAAGCCTTCTTTTAAAATATACTGATCATTGGCTATGCACCTTGTCACTTAAGAGTTCCAATGGAAATGTATAAGAATATTAATGACATTTTCATGTCTGTTAAAACAATGTCCATTCTGCATCCCATGTATCAAGCAGTCATTTTGATTTTCAAGTCTTATTATTTAAGACATACATTTTGTAAGCCTACAGTACAGCTGCCATAGATAGTGATTCTCCTGATGCATGTGAGCAAAGTAAATCAAAAACATTCTGGAAAGGATTCGACACACTAGATGCCATTAAAAACATTAGTGATTCGTGAGAAGAGCTCAAAATATCAACATTAACAGGAGTTCGGAAGAAATGAATTCCAACCTTCATGTATGATTTTGAATGGTTCAAGATTTCAGTGGAAGACAGATTAGAGAAATGCAAGTCAAAACCACAATGAGATACCATCTCATGCCAGTCAGAATGGCAATTATTAAAAAGTCAAGAAACAACAGATGTTGGTGAGGTTGCAGAGAAATAGAAACACTTTTACACTGTTGATGGGAATGAAATTAGTTCAACCATTGTGGAAGATGGTGTGGCAATTCCTCAAAGATCTAGAACCAGAAATACCATTTGACTTGGCAATCCCATTACTGGGTATATGCCCAAAGGAATATAAATCATTCTATTACAAAGATATATGTGTGCATATGTTCATTACAGCACTATTCACAATAGCAAAAACATGGAATCAACCCAAATGCCCATCAACGATAGACTGGATAAAGAAAATGTGGTACATATATACCATGGAATACTATGCAGCCGTAAAAAGGAATGAGATCATGTCCTTTGCAAGGACATGGATGAAGCTGAAAGCCATTATCCTCAGCAAACTAATGCAGGAGCAGAAAACCAAACACTGCATGTTCTCACTTATAAGTGGAAGCTGAACAATGAGAACACATGGACACAGGGAGGGGAACAGCACACACTGGGGCCTGTTGGGGGCTGGGGTGGTGGGAGCGAGAGCATTAGGAAAAATAGCTAATGTGTGCTGGGCTTAATATCTAGGCGATGGGTTGATAGGTTGCAAATTACCATGGCATACCTTTATCTATGTAACAAACCTTCACATCCTGCATTTGTACCCCAGAACTTAAAATAAAAAAAAAATTAAAATTACAAAAAGATTTCAGTGGACAAGGTAATTGCAGATGTGGTAGAAATAGAAAGAGAACTAGAATTAGAAGTGGAGCCTGAATATGTGATTGAATTGCTGCAATCTTATAATCAAACTAGAATTAATGAGGAGCTGCTTCTTATGAATGAGCAAAGAATGTGATTTCTTGGTATGGCTTCTACTCCTGGTGAAGAGGCTGTGGACATTGTTGAAATGAAAATAATCAATTCAGAATATAATGCAAACTTAGTAGATAAAGCAGCATTAGGGTTTGAGAGGAGTGACTCCAATTTTGATATACATTTTATAGTGCTCAAAGAGCATCACGTACTACAAAGAAATCTTTAGTATAGGGAAGAGTCAATTGATGCAGGAAAATGTATTATTGTCTTATTTTAAGAAATTGCTGCAGTCACCAGAAGTTACCACCTTGATCACTCAGCCTCCATCAACATCAAGACAAGAACCTTCCCCAGCAAAAAAGACTACAACTCGCTAAAGGCTCAGATGATCATTAGCATTTTTTTAGCAATACAGTATTTCAAAAGTATGTATATTGTTTGTTAGACATAATGTTATTGCACACTTAATAGACTACAGTGTAATATAAACATATATTTTATATGCATTGGAAACCAAAAATTAGTGTTACTGGTTTTATTGCAATGTTCATTTTATTATGGTGGTCTGAAAATAAAGACACATTATCTCCGAGATGTGTCCGTATTAGTATTAGACATTACTGGAAAATGCCCAGTGGGTTAACACTCTAATGTTTCAGAAACTTGTTCAATGGGCTCTAATTCTTTTTTTTTATTATACTTTAAGTTTTAGGGTACATGTGCACAACGTGCAGGTTTGCTACATATATATACATGTGCCATGTTGGTGGGCTGCACCCATTAAGTCGTCATTTAACATTAGGTATATCTCCTAATGCTATCCCTCCCCCCTCCCCCCACCGCACCACAGGCCCTGGTGTGTGATGTTCCCCTTCCTGTGTCCATGTGTTCTCATTGTACAATTCCCACCTATGAGTGAGAACATGTGGTGTTTAGTTTTTTTGTCCTTGTGATACTTTGCTGAGAATGATGGTTTCCAGCTTCATCCATGTCCCTGCAAAGGACATGAACTCATCGTTTTTATGGCTGCATAGTATTCCATGGTGTATATGTGCCACATTTTCTTAATCCAGTCTATCATTGTTGGACATTTGGCTTGGTTCCAAGTCTTTGCTATTGTGAATAGTGCCGCAATAAACATATGTGTGCATGTGTCTTTATAGCAGCATGATTTATAATCCTTTGGGTATATACCCAGTAATGGGATGGTATTTCTAGTTCTAGATCCCTGAGGAATTGCCACACTGACTTCCACAATGGTTGAACTAGTTTACAGTCCCACCAACAGTGGAAAAGTGTTCCTATTTCTCCACATCCTCTCCAGCACCTGTTGTTTCCTGACTTTTTAACGATCGCCATTCTAACTGGTGTGAGATGGTATCTCATTGTGGTTTTGATTTGCATTTCTCTGATGGCCAATGATGATGAGCATTTTTTCATGTGTTTTTTGGCTGCATAAATGTCTTCTTTTCAGAAGTGTCTGTTCATATCCTTTGCCCACTTGTTGATGGGGTTGTTTGTTTTTTTCTTGTAAATTTGTTTGAGTTCATTGTAGATTCTGGATATCAGCCCTTTGTCAGATGAGTAGGTTGCGAAAATTTTCTCCCATGTTGTAGGTTTCCTGTTCACTCTGATCATAGTTTCTTTTGCTGTGCAGAAGCTCTTTAGTTTAATTAGATCCCATTTGTCAATTTTGGCTTTTGTTGCCACTGCTTTTGGTGTTTTAGACATGAAGTCCTTGCCCATGCCTATGTCCTGAATGGTAATGCCTAGGTTTTCTTCTAAGGTTTTTATGGTTTTAGGTCTAACATGTAAGTCTTTAATCCATCTTGAATTAATTTTTGTATAAGGTGTAAGGAAGGGATCCAGTTTCAGCTTTCTACATACGGCTAGCCAGTTTTCCCAGCACCATTTATTAAATAGGGAATCCTTTCCCCATTTCTTGTTTTTCTCAGGTTTGTCAAAGATCAGATAGTTGTAGATGTGTGGTATTATTTCTGAGGGCTCTGTTCTGTTCCATTGGTCTATATCTCTGTTTTGGTACCAGTACCATGCTGTTTTGATTACTGTAGCCTTGTAGTATAGTTTGAAGTCAGGTAGCGTGATGCCTCCAGCTTTGTTCTTTTGGCTGAAGATTGACTTGGCAATGCAGGCTGTTTTTGGGTTCCTTGTGAACTTTAAAGTAGCTTTTTCCAATTCTGTGAAGAAAGTCATTGGTAGCTTGATGGGGATGGCATTGAATCTGTAAATTACCTTGGGCAGTATGGCCATTTTCACGATATTGATTCTTGCTACCCATGAGCATAGAATGTTCTTCCATTTGTTTGTATCCTCTTTTATTTCATTGAGCAGTGGTTTGTAGTTCTCCTTGAAGAGGTCCTTCACATCCCTTGTAAGTTGGATTCCCAGGTATTTTATTCTCTTTGAAGCAATTGTGAACAGGAGTTCACTCATGATTTGGGTCCCTGTTTGAAAACCACATGATTATCTCAATAGATGCAGAAAAGGCCTTTGACCAAATTCAACAGCCCTTCATGCTAAAAACTCTCAATAAATTAGGTATCGATGGGACGTATCTCAAAATAATAAGAGCTATTTATGACAAACCCACAGCCAATATCATACGGAATGGGCAAAAACTGGAAGCATTCGCTTTGAAAACTGGCACAAGACAGGGGTGCCCTCTCTCACCACTCCTATTCAGCATAGTGTTGGAAGTTCTGGCCAGGGCAATCAGGCAGGAGAAAGAAATAAAGGGTATTCAATTAGGAAAAGAGGAAGTCAAATTGTCCCTGTTTGCAGATGACATGATTGTATATCTAGAAGTCCCCATCGTCTCAGCCCAAAATCTCCTTAAGCTGATAGGCAACTTCAGCAATGTCTCAGGATACAAAATAAATGTGCAAAAATCACAAGCATTCTTATACACCAATAACGAGCTCTAATTCTTAGGATTTGTTTTCTGGGCAGAAACTCCCAAAAAGCTTTAGTCTGTGTATTTTCTTGGTACACTAATATTCAAAATACACAAAATTGATAAAAACTAAATATCTTTAAATTTAGTGATCAGTTAATTTTTAAGTTTATTACCAATTTTTAATTCAATAAATTAAAAATTTATAAAATCCACATTTAAGCATTTAACCTATTAATTCCAACTGCTAAAATAGGTATTTTTCCCTTCTCAAGTAGTTTTAGGCTTATCAGACAAAGACTTCAAAGCAGCAATTACAAACATATTTAAAAATTATGTAAAGCAGGCCAAAAGACAAAGAAAAACAGAAAACCTCTAAAACTGAAGAGAAAAGCAACTCTTTACATATAGGTAAACTGCATTGTGAACACCATGTAGCTTCTCAGAGATACAATGGATGTTTGAAAGCAGTGGAGTATTATAGTCAAAGCATTGAAAGAAAACTACTTCAAGCAATAATTCTACACCCAACAAAACCATCTATCAAAAATGAAGGCAAAACAAAGACTTTCTAAGATGAACAAAGACTGATATTATTTGTTCTTAATCTGCCTTACTAGAAGTAGTAGGAAAAGTCCTTCTATATGAAAGAAAATAACATCAGTCAGTAATTCTAATTCAGTAAAAAGTACCAGAAAGGGTAATTATGCAGAAATTTTGAAAGACAGAATGAATATATATTTTTTCTTTTATCCTGACTGGTTTAAAAGACAATTGTATAAAGGAAGAATTATTATATAATACTATATTGTTGAGTTTATAATATACAGATATATATGAAACAGGAAAATTTTGAGAAAAAGAATAAGGTTAAATTGTATCAAAGTTTTTATGTTTTACTGGAACTAAGTTACTACTTATATATAACAGGATGATAAATTCAGTTGCTTATTATAATTACTAGAATAACCACTATGAAAATAACTCAAAATTGTCTAGTAAATAATCAGAAAGGAAAAAACATGGTACATTAAAAGAAGGCAGTAATGAAGGAAGAGAAAAGCAGAAAAAAATTTTTTTTTTTAGTTCAGGAGACATTTAGAAAGCAAATTGCAAAAGAGCAGATGTAAATCCACTCATATCAATTATTACATTTAATGGAAATGAATTAACCACTAAAAAACAGAGACAAGGCTACAGTAACCAAAACAGCATGGTATTGGTACCAAAACAGATATATAGACCAATGGAGCAGAACAGAGGCCTCAGAAATAATGCCACATATCTACAATCATCTGATCTTTGACAAACCTGACAAAAACAAGCAATGAGGAAAGGATTCGCTATTTAATAAATGGTGTTGGGAAAACTGGCTAGCCATATGCAGAAAACTAAAACTGGATTTTCGAAAAGTAAGGACAAAGGATTCAAAAAAGGATTTTTGAAAAGTAAGGACAAAGTTGAAGGATAAATATCATTTTTAAGACTCACTATAAAGCTATAATGCAAGAGTGATATAATAAAAAAGATACATATTGAAAAGTGAAACAGAAAGGAACGCCCAGAAATAAACTCCCAAGATACAGTCAACTGATTTTTGACAAAGGTAAAAAAAAAAATTCAATAATATTAGCATTGCTCAAATATTGGACATCCACGTAGAAACAAAAATAATAATATCACTGTTGTATACTTCACAATCATTACAAATTAAATCAAATGCATATCGTAGTCTTAAGTCTGAAATGTAAATAATAAAAGTTTTAGAATAAAACAGAAAAGAAAATTTGCCTAACTTTGGGCTAAGACTTATTAGATACAACCTAAAAGTACAATATCTTAAAAAATGGATAGAAGAAAATTTGTAAAATCAAAGACATTTGCTATCTAAAATACACTATCAAGGAAATGAAAAGACAAGTCACAGACTGGGAGAATATAAATGTACAAGTCACATTTCCTGCAAAGGTCTTGAATCCAGACTATAGAAATAATGCTTAAAGCTCAACAATAAGAAAATAATAACTATTGTGTACTGGGCTTAATACCTGGGTGATGAAATAATATGCACACCAAACTCCCATGACACGTGTGTACCTTTGTAACAAACCTTCTCATGTACCCAAACCTAAAAGTTAAAATAATAATAATAATAATTTTATAAAACACAAAATCAGTGAAACACAATAAAACAAAGAACAATAAAATAAGGTATGCCTGTTAAAAAAAGAAAGAAAAGAAATCAAATAGCCCTTAATTATAGGCAAAATATCTGAATAGACATTTAATGATATAATGTAAACAGATGTCAAATAAACACATTAAATATGCTCAATGCCATTTATTATTAGAGAAATGTAAATTATAATCACAATGACACATTGCTACATCAAAATTTAAATGTCTAAAATTCCAAAACACTGGCAATCCCAAATGCTGTTTAGGTAGTAGAATATTTGAAACTTTCATGCCTCCCTGGTGGAGATATGAAATAATATAGCTACTTTAGCAAACAATTTGGAAGTTTCTTATAAACACCTGCCATATGACTCAGCATCATGTTCCTAAGTATTAACCTTAGAGAATTGAAAATTCCTGTTCAAATGAAAATCTGTACACAAATATATTTAGCATTTTATTCATAATTGTCAACCATTACAAATAACCTAGATGTCATCTTCAACTGGAAAATAGAAAAACTACAGTAAATTCATACAATAGAATTCTATTCCATGATAAAAATGAACTATGGATTTAGGCAGCAACAATATGGATAAATTTTTAGTGTGTTTTGCTAAGTGAAAGAAGGTAGACTGAAATGGCTGCATAGTATCTAATTCCATATACAAGGAACTTTCAAAAAGGCAGAACTATAAGAAAATAATTGTTAAAGTGTTTAAGTGTTAGTTATATGGTATCTATCTATGTATCTATGTATCTGTCTACCTATTTTAGCAATGTAGAGTGAAATATAAAGTGTGATATCAGTAACAAAAAGGTTAAGAGGGGCAATATTAGAAGTATATTATTGTAAGATTCTTATACTCAGTAATATACTACATGACAGAAAACTGACAAAGTTGTGTACTATAAACCCTAAAGCAATCACTAAAATAACAAAGCACTAAAATACAGCTAAAAGCCAACTAAAGAAAATAATACATAACATTTGTTTAATTCAAAAGAAAGAAAAGGGTTTATAGAACACAAGTGGCAGATAGAAAACAGGAAAATAACAGATCTCAAGGTAATCAGGTAATTGCCAGAAAGCCTGTATGAGGATCTCCATAGAAAACAACTATTGAACTAGTTAAAATCACTGGACAAAGTTTTAAATTATCTGGAACCTGACCAAAGGGAATAAAGCAAATCAAGAAACATTTATTCAAGATAATCCTCTAAACCTTATTAAAGACGGTGGGGGGCTGTTGCATTTGAACTAAAGGCTTCCTCCATTCCTCCAACTCAGAGTTGCAGAAGTATATTCCAGAGGGACACAGTTCCAATCCCTCCTCCAGAGTCTGCTCTGTAATATAGTCTCTATGTATGGAAGTCAGGGGAGTTGGGGCTTCCAAACTTTCCTCGAGGTCTGAATTGTGTATGATGTATTCCAGTGGGACCAGAAGGCCTTTGGAACACATTGAGGAGGAATCCATGTTCAAGCACAAAGTCACAAACAACGAGGTCATAATGCAAGCAATCAGAGAATTCTAACAGCTCCAAGATTCTAGCAGAAGCAAACGAAGTGACAGAGTAACAAGAACACTGAACACAGAGATACATGGAAAGAGACAATTGAAGAGGACCTACTAAGTTCACACTCACCTCTAGTGTTCTGGAAGGCTGTGCACATGTGCTATACTGCAGTCACTTAAGAGCAACAAGAGAGGAAAAAAGAGAGGGTACCTGTGAGCTACTCATTCATAGCCAAACACAGGGAGGAACTGTAGACTCCATGAGATATAATGAAATATTTTTTCTTTACTATCAACCAATTTTTTAAAATAAAAGCATAACGCAATAACTTTAAAATGATATCATTGGGACTGTAACATATAGAAATATAATATATTGAACATGATAGCCAAAAGGAGGAGGAGAGTAATGAGAACATGGTGGGGCAAAAAGCCAATGCCATATGGAAAAAGATAATGAGAGCAGGAAATGGTAAATAAGAATATTGACATAAACATTATGTAAAATATTTTCTTCTTTCTTCTCTTAGCTTCTTTAAAAGCCATGAGATGATAAAAAGCAATAATTATAACACTACATCAGGATTGTAACATATATAGATATAATATATGTGCTAACAGTAGCACAAATATGGGTGGAGAGAATAGAACTATATTGGAGTAAAATTGTCACATTTCTCTAGAATAAAGGTCCCATAAATCTGAAGTAGATTCTTATGAGTTAATATGCATGTTGAAAACTCTACAGCTGTCACTAAAGCTAACTCAAAAAACAAAGTACGGTAGAAAATATCTACTTATTGCAAATGAGGGAAGTAAAGGCGCTACAGAGGAAAAAATGTGAATAAGACAGAAAACAAAGAGCAAAATGGCAGATATAAATACACCAATATTAATTATAACATGAAACATATAAGTAGATGAATAATCCAACAAAAGCCAGAGATCATCATACCAAAGTATAAAACAACACCAATAAGCTGTCTAAAAGGTAAACTCTTGAAATTTAAAGATTTAGGCCAGGCGCAATGGCTCATGCCTGTAATCCCAGCACTTTGGGATGCCAAGGCGGGCAGGTCTCCTGAGGTCAGGAGTTTGAGATCAGCCTGGCCAACATGGTGAAACTCCGTCTCTACTAAAAACATCAAAAAAAAAAAAAATTAGCCAGGCATGGCGGTGAGCACCTGTAATCCTAGCTACCTGGAAGGCTGAGGTGCGAGAATCACTTGAACCCAGGAGGCTGAAGTTGTAGTGAGCCGAGATTGCACCAGGGCACTCCAGGCTGGACAACAGAGCAAGACTCCATCTCAAACTAAAAAAAAAAAACCATTTAAATACGTTGAAAGTGAAAAGATGAGATGGAAGGATGTAAGCTTGATGCAAACAGAAAGCATAAGAGAGTGAGAGTAGCTACATTATTATCAGACAAAATAAGTTTTAAGACAGAAATGTTTCTAGAAACAAAGTGGGTCATTGTATAATTAAAGGATCAGTCCCTCTGAATAATATAACCATTGAAAACACGTATGTGATAAACAACATAGTCTCCAAAAAGATAGATCAAAATTGATAGTTGTTTTTAAAAAGGAGACTTTCAAAAATAACTGTTGGAGATTTCAGTAGCCTACTCTGAATGATGGAAAGACGTACTAGACTTAAGATAAACAAAGATATATAAGACTTGAACAACACTATAGACCTAAAACATACTTAAAGAACATTCCAACCAACACCATCAAATGCACATTCTTCTCAAGTGCACATGAAAGATTCCCCAGGTCCACCATGCCATAAAACTGAAATTGCACAAAATATATAATATTATCCTAGATAATATATTTTAAACAATTAAAACTAGAAATCGGCAAGCAAAGGGTTTGGGGGACATTTCCAAATACATGGAATTTGAAGAACATACTTCTAAATAGCCAAGGTGTCAAGAAAAAAATTACAGGAAATATTAGAAAATACTCTGGGGCCAGGTGCAGTGGCTCATGCCTGTAATCTCAGCAATTTGGGAAGCCAAGGTGGGCGGATCACTTGAGGTCAGGAGTTTCAGACCAGCCTGACCAACATGGTGAAACCCAGTCTCTAACAAAAATACAAAAATTAGCCAGGTGTGGTGGCACACACCTGTAATCCCAGCTACTTGGGAGGCTGAGGCAGGAGAATCGCTTGAACGAGGGAGGTGGAGACTGCAGTGAGCCAAGATCGCACCACTGCACTCCAGTCTGGGCAACAGAGCAAGACTCCTTTGGGATAAGTTAAAATAATGCATAACACCACAATTTATATGCATTTGAAAATTCTGTTGTTGGTTAGTTTCTTATAGTTGTCAATTAGTTTAAAATAGGTAACAACGTTGAAGTCTTCTATATCTGTGTCATTCTGTGTCTTCTGAGAATTATTTGTGAAGACAGAATTAATTGAATATTTATTGGGGAAAGTACATATAAAAGATAAAGGGGGAGGGACAGGAGAAGTTGAGGAGAGCTTTCAGAGGACAGTACAGCTCTCAGAATAAAGAGAGAGAGAAAAAAATAAAGAAGGGAGATTGGGTGGAGTGAGCCTCAGATCACCACACCGTTCTGAGAAAGCTCAGTCCAAGTTAATGGATAATTATTGAAAAGCGCTTGCCAATTAGAGACTTCCTCCGCTGGGCAAGAACAACCTTCTTTAGTACCCTGATCATGTCAGTCATTTACTACCGGCACCCTGGGAGAAGTGTGGCCATGACGCTAATCCAACAGTGGACCTGCAGAAGCAGCGGCTGGCGAGCATAAGTCAATGTTTTTCACACAGGTTCTCTTGAGTGGCACTCCATCTCCACTAGGATGCGATTACTGGTTTGTACTCTCCTTATTCTACCAGTTACTCAGAAAGAAGTGTTGAAACATACAGATAAAATTGCAGGGTTTTCAAAAATTTCTCCTATCGGGTTTGCTTCATATATTTTGAAGTTCTGTTATTGGGTGTACTTACAAGTGGAACTCGTATGTCTTCTTGATACATGGAAACACTTATAAGTTTGAAATGTCTTTCTTTATTCCTTGTCCTGCAGTTTTCTTTTCAGATATTAGTGCTTGATATCGTAGTGTTTACATGACATATCTGTTGCAATCCTTTTCTCCTTTATTCTATTTTATCTTTATATCTGTTTTTTTTTCCCCTAGGAGATGTATAATTTGGTCTTGCTTTATTATCCTGGTGGATAATTTCTGTCTTTTACTTGGGATGTTAGACAATTTCTATTCAAATCAATTATCAAAATGATTTGGCTTATGTCTACCATCTTGCTAATTATATTCCATTCATCCCATCTGTTCTTTATTTTTTTCACCTTTTCCTGCCTTCTTAGGGATTAATTATGTTATTCCATTTTACAACCACTATTGGCTTATTAGCTATACATCTAGGTTTATTATTTTATGGGATGCTCTCAGATACACAATATGCATTTTTTACATATTACAGCCTGCCTTCAATTGATATTATAATTTTTCACATGTAATATAAATATCTACAACTCTTTTCTTCATTTTCTTCCTCCAATCCTCTATGCTATTTTGGTCATTTATTTTATTTGTATGTCTATTTTAAGTTCATTATTTACTTTTGGTGTTTTGCATTAGAATGCTTATTAATTTTTAAAGAAAAATTTAAATCGCATTTCTGGTATCCATCATCCTTTTTGAAGTTCTAAGTTTCCACCTACCACCAGTTTCCTCTACTTTCAACAATTTCCATTTTAGTTTCTTATAATACATTAGTGTTGAACACAAATTATGTCAACTTTTGTTGATAAACATGTTGCATTTAGTCTTCAATTTTTAAATATATTTTCACTGCACTTACATTTTGAAGTTAACTTTTTAAAGAATTCTTGCCCTTTAAAGATTTAGTACAATTGTGCTGGCTTTCATTATTTCTATCAAAAAATCTTTGATTTACCTTATATGTTCTGTAATATAATGAGAGTTTTCCTCTAGGCTGTTTATAGGAAATTCTCTTAGTCACTATTGAGAGTTTATCTTGGGGTGTGTGTGTGTGTGTGTGTGCATGTATTTGCTTTGCTTTTCTGTGGGTGTTTCTGTTTGTTTTATTGTTGTGGTGGTGTATCTGTGTTGTGTCTGTGTGTGTGTGCATAAGTGCTTATTATGCCAGGAGTTTGTTGAACTTCTTAAACTGGTGAGCTTATATTTTTTATCAAATTTGATACATTTGTAGTCATTAATTTTTCAAATTTATTTTTCTCCTCTTGCACATCATTTTTCTCTTTTCTTGTACTTCAGTTACACATGTATACAACAAGTTGATACTCATTTTACTGAGGTTCTCTCTCTCTCTTTTTTTTTTCAGGTTTTCCCCCGCCATGCTTCATTGTCAATAGTTTCTGTTGGTGTTCTTCAGGTTCACTAATCTTCCTTCTAAATTATCTCGTCTTATATTAGCCTTATCCAGTGACCTTTCCAGTTTAGACATTGTGTTTTCTATCTCGAAAAGTTTTAAATTTTTTCATATCATGCGTTTCTTTCTTCTCATTTCCTCCAAATAACTGAACATAATATAATTACTGTTTTAACATTCTTTCATGCAAATTCTACCACTTCTGTTTCAAGGGACTGCGTTTCCATTTAGTGATTTTTCTCATGATTCTAGATCATATTTTTTCTCACCTTTTATCATGTCTAGTAATTTTTTTATTGGATGCTGTACATTGTAATTTTATGCTGTGGGGTCTTTGGATATTATTGTCAGCCTTATAGAATGTTTTCCTTTGTCTTGGTAAGTTCTTAAATAAATTGGAGCCCTGTTAGATCAATTTGAAACTTGCCTTCTATGCTTATTTTTGCAGGTCTACTGTGGTCTTTACTCTAGGGATAGTTCTGCCCTATTACTAAGAAATTGTTCTTTGTGGGATATCTACTGAATACTTTGAGCGAACAAAAAGAGCACTTCACTCTTGCTGGTGAGAAAACTAATGAGTCATAGCTTTGAGTTAGCTCTAGGGGACTTTCAGAAGTTCTGTCTTAAACCTCATGGAATTCTTTTTTAAACATCATGTATTTGTACATTTTTAATATTCTTTATACTTATGGAAACACCTAGTAGATTTATGAGATTCTTTTTCTGCATGATCTCTCCTCTACAGAATTTCACCTTGTACACTTCTGTCACTTCAGCATTCATGAATTCCAATTTCTGCGTCCTCAACGCAATGAAACTGCTGGGCCTTACATGGGACTGTCCATCCTTGTACTGTCGTTCATAATGTGCCTCCAGCAGAAGGGTGATTTTATGGCTTACCTTATTTGGTTCCCCTTTTTAAGGGATAATAATCTGTCCGGTCTATTTTTCAATGTCTGAAAAGGTTGTTTTATATAGTTGCTTGGGGTTTCTAGTTTTATAATGTGAGGGGCTAAAATTGGCCTCTGCTATTCTATCATGACTAGAAGAGAAATTCTGGTATTATTTTTAATAAGCAAATACTGGATTCAAATTAAATGTTCATGAATAGAGGACTGGTTTTAAATGACTGTGGTGCAGCCTACCTGTGAAATTACAGATATCACTTAAAAGAATACAATGGGGCATAAATGTATTTGTATTTTTTTCTACCCAATACATCTTCTTAAGTAAAAAAATCACTGTACATTAATATAACAGTAAAAATATTACTGCACATTAATACATAATACTATATAAACCACTATACATAGTTAACATATATTTAGATATATAAATATATGTATGTATATGTTTAACTACCTTTCTGAAAGAAGGTCCACAATTCCTGAGATGACTGTTGGGATTGGGTAAAAATGGCCTCGATGGTTATAAATAAGGAATTTCCAAGTTTTGTATTATATACATTGGTATTTTATAATATAAGCATTCCTATACTCCTTATAAAATGTAAAAAGTGAAGTAGATTATTTATTCGTTAGATTAACCTTGTTTGTGGATAAACTTAAGGACCATTTTGATATTATTACAATATGAAAGGTATGCCTGAAGCATAGTGCAATAATTATTTCTGTAGTTTATAATAGTACTGTATCATCATTATAGTACTAAAATCCCAAAATCTTAGCCATATACAAAACTTATTGTATATTTTTAAGATAACTTTTCATTAAATCTTGTTTCATTTTTCTTTTATTTCCGAATTGTTTTGTTTCCTAGCAGAGTACTACTCAGCATATATCAATGTTCACAAGTAATTGCTTCTGGGTGCTATAAACATTTCTATAGATTATGAATTTTTGAAGAAACATCTATGATTAAAGTTTATAACGGTACTTTAGTTCATTATCTTTAAGGCATTTACCATAAGTGTCTGATGGCACAGATAAAGGTGTCTACTTAGAGTTATTTCTGTTTTATGTATTAGGAATGTAAATCTGCAGAAGCCGAATGAGTTTCAAAGTATTATAACAAACTGTTGCATTTAAAGAGACATTTATGTTCTGGAGTGGAAAATGATTGCACTGATGTTTTTATCAAACACCCTGATAGTTTTATAAGGTAGTCTGACCAACCTATAAAGTACTGCCTTCAATCCATACAACTGATATTAGAGGGAGAATAGCCTCTTCTATATACTTAGCAATAAAAGGAAATGTTCAAGTTGTCTCTTTGTGAATTCTTCAATAACTTCAAACAATTCATGTGGTTTTATACAATCTTCCCAACCTTCCTATTTTTATTCTACAAAACTATGTTGTTGAAAATGCTTCAGGCAGAATATAGCCTAGAATATAACCCTTAGATAAAATGTATACATATACCTATGGTCACGTTCCTTGTAAAGAGAGCTATTTTACTCCATAAACCACCATTATAGAATATTATACCACTATAAGCAAAAACTCAAAATAATGAGAAGAGGTTAAAAATCTCTCTCTATTCATTCATTATTTTTTCATGCAGTTAAAAAAATGAAAAGACTCACTAAAAATTTACAAAGTATCATGCTAATAATTAGGTCCTGAGAGTACCAAGAGAGACATAAATATATAAACATGTAATTACAAGAGAATATTAAGTTATATAAAAATATACAGGAATGTAGAGAAGGGAAAAGTCACGTCTATCTAAATGAATCACAGGGACAAAATATACATGCCGAAGTGGGAACAATCAGTGGGAATGTGGCAGAACAAACTACATGTGGAAGAGAATGGTATTAGACACAACTAGGAAAAGAGTTGACTTTGTCTTGCATATGTGCAAATGATAATGATATACATCCACAAACATAAGTGCAACAGTTTAAGGAACTGTGGGACACCCTCTAAACCCATGCCAGCCTCTATCCTTACACATTCTTGCTGGGCTTTTTTCTCTGAGACAGGACAAAGAAAAGGACAGCCCTTGCAATAGTCATAGCCCAACACAGCTGCTTCCAGAAATCCCACTCATTCTTAATATCCAACTATACTTAGACTATTCTGATATTTGTTTGATATTCAATGATGAAAATAAACTCTTTCTCCACCGAGTTTGCACTTTATTTGTATCCATTACTTGGTAGGTAGCATATTCTGCTTTACATTACAATTATTTTCATTTCTATTTTATGTCTCATAAAAAAATACAGCTTTCCTCTTTCTTTCCTCTGTGATGGCTAAACCTGTCTTTTATGTAATATTAGTTTAAATATTTGTTTAATTTAATTTTATTCACTGACTCTTAGGATATAAGGTGATTTACTGCAATTCATTACAGACTTTCAATAAGTGAATTAAGGTAAGGATGGTTACATTAAACATCAAATAAGATAACGTACATTAGGTTACAAAATTAAAGCTCTAGATATTTTGGAAACATATCTACTACCTTTTTTTCCTTCAGAGTGAGCTCCTCCTCTATAATCCATATATATTCCTGGGTATCAGAAAATAATCTGTCATTTACCATGTTATTTTCTTAAATCATTGAATTACATGGGGACCTTTTGGAAGTCTTGTGTTTTTCTTTGATATCAATAGTCTACTATGATTTTTTTTTTATTAGCCGGATGTCAGTGAGTTAAGAGAAACATGATCAGTCCTGTCAGCAAGGAAGGAATATGATAAGTGTCTGCGGAGTTCTCATTCTAGAAATTCTCTGTCTCCACTGAAAACAATGGGGCTTCCCGAAATTTGACAAGACCCATTCTTCAAGTTATGAAAAAATAATCAAAAGATCAATGGGAGCACACCAGGCACCATTTTTCTGAATTGAATTGACATTTTACTGTCAATCAATCTTCTGCTTGGGGCACGAAGTTTCACCAAACTAGATAAACCACTGAGGCCCTCTTTGGAATCCATGTAGTACATGACGCTAGACTGATGAAGATGTGACTATAAGTTTCCAGAGATTACACTTATTTTCTAATGTTTCAAATACAAAATTTGACTGGGGTTTGCTATTCCCTGTATGAAATTGCTTTTTTGTCTGTCTACTTAGGGAGACTAATAGTGATGATGATATTCACATCAACAACAAAAACAAATCAAATTGTGTGTAAAATGCACACATCACTCTAAGTAAGATCCAAAACAAAAAAAAAAGTGCAAAATGAGATGTTGCATTAGCACGAGGTCAATGAAATAACCGCGGAGAGTCCGTGAGAAACATCAGCAGCCAATGGCCAATTCTATTTGAAGCTGCTTTATTGGTTGGGTACAGTGGCTCACACCTGCAATCCCAGCAATTTGGGAAGCCAAGGCAGGAGGATCGCTTGAGTCCAAGAGTTCAAGGTTGCAGTGAGCCGTGATTACGCCACTGCACTCCAGCCAGGGAGACACAGCGAGACCTTGTCTCAAAACAAGCGAACAAACAAAACCCAAACAAATAAGCAAAAAAAGAAGTTGCTTAATTGTAAGCCAAATTATAACAGAATTTCTCTGTTTATAACCTTAAAAAAAGGTGGGGAGAAATGTATAAATCACTGAAGAATAAATTTATTTCTCATAGCAAATACAGTTTATACTTCTCAATATTCATTATTAATTGTTCTCATTCTATCCCTGGAGATATAGCCTACTTTACCAAAAATCTAAGCTTATAGTTTTTTTAAAAAAATACAGTGAAATATATTATTGTAATTTTGGAAGAACTAAACACTTTTATGGTTTAAAATCCTATTCAGCTTTGATTATTATGATTACATTCTCTTCCACCATCAATTCTTTTGATATCTCAATTCTGAGGGCTATTTGGGTCATGTGTTAATATTCTTATATGCCTCCATAGCTCTTAGCATTGGATACTTATAAGTTATATAATAAAAGCTTCTTGATTACATCCAAAATATTAGTCCACTTGATGTTGTGGTGTAGGATAGAGTGAAAATAAACCATATCTGTGAGACATGAAAACAAAGTTCTTGCTCCACGTCATCTATCCATGGCTGTCTATGAGATCTTGAGAAAATTATTTTGTCTTCCCAGTCAAAGAAATGAATGAGAGAGCAGGGGGAGATTTCAAGGTATCTTTTATCTCTAAAATGTTATATTTCTTATCCTTCGATAATATCCAGATTTCTTAAAGACCTTAAAAATGTAGAAAGTTATTTATTGTCATGAAAACATTACTGACTTCTCTTGAGCTTCACGTACTATTGCAAAATCTGGATATCTGGATCCATCTCCAAGCCTTATAAAACAGAAACAGTAGATATCAGAGCAGGTATAGAACAATGATTTGTTAGGGTAAAGCTTCAAACCATGATATTATAGACATTCAGGAAATTTAGGCAGTGTGTGTGTGTGTGTGTGTCTGTGTGTCTGTGTGTCTGTGTTTAAAATGCATGGAGGTGCCATGTAGTAGCAACTGTGCATTCTGGGAGCTTTTTGGGTGGGCAGTAAAAGGGTTGATTGGGCTCCTCTTGTCACTCTTTTCAGAAGTTATTCTAAACTGTAACTTATTTTTAAATTACAACTTCTCCAACTCAGAATACCATATGCTGGGTTCCGGGATTTCTTTCTTCCTTTGTTCTATTTTCTTCTCTTGACAGCCTATTTTCTGTTTCTCTCCAAGGACTTATCCAGATTTGCTCCTTGTTTAAAAATTTTATTGCTTATTTTATATTCATTCAATTATTATATTTTTCTTAAAACTTAACACCAAAGAATGTTTAATCTTTGTTTCCTCCACCCCTCTGGTAGCACACCAAACCTGTGGCAGAGTTGAGTGAGAATTGTGTTATTGTTTTGATTTGGCCACATCTCTCTTTTGGATCAAGTTATAATTTCCCACTTTTTTACTTTGGAAAAAAAATCAAGTTCCCAAGAACAATTCTATGAGAGGAAAAATAAAAGCTTTCCTCAGCAAAACTTATAAGAAGAAAAAAAGATCCTTCAGATTTATCTAAAGAGAATATGTATCTATCCATATGTGACCAAGGTATATGAAAGTGTGTGTGTGTGTGTGCTTTGGCTGCAATACTCACACACATTTGTATGAATTCACTCTTCATGGTTTTTTCATGGAACAAGAGTTTAGAATGAAGGTTATAACATACATAGAAAGCAATAAAAGCAACAAAATTTTCTTCTATCATAAGCTTACAAGCTTGTAGAGTGGTCAAGATAAATATATGTGAAATGTTAAATAACTAGGTCATCGTTCTCAAATACATGGATTGGACATTCAGAGCAATCCAATTTTCTTATTCACTATGAAATATTTTTCTATGTAAAGAAATGTAAAGATATATCACTAGGTTAATAACTGCATAGTCTTCCATCATATGTGTGTATATATATATAATCATTTTAGCTTTTTGTTGCACATGAGCAATTGTAAAATACAGCTATGCATGACATAATGATGCTTCAATCAACAAAGTATGCGTAAAATTATAACACTATATTTTTCTGCACTTTTTCTATGTTTAGGTATGTATAGGTATACCAACACTTATCATTCCATTACAATGCCTGCAGTATTCAATACAGTCATGCTGAAGGTTTGTAGTCTGGAACTATAGGCTCTATCATGTAGCCTAGGTGTGTAATAGGCTCTGCTATCTAGGTTTGTGTAAGGAAACTGTGATGTTTGCACAATGATGAAATCATCTAACAATGCATTTCTCAGACTATGTCCCGCTGTTAAGCGACATATGACTGTATTTGCAATTACTAACAGCTCTGCAATTAACCTACATATACTAGAATCAGTGGCAGCAGGAACTATAGCAGACATTATCAGTGCTTTATCCGTATTCCTTGGAGACACACCATGTCTGGTCAGTCCAGCCAAACTTCCAACTGCCAACACTTGTGATTCTTTGCCTAAAAGTTCTCTCAGGCTTCGGGAGCCTGCTCTAAGTGTGCATTGAGCATTCTGGAAGTTCCAGGGCATATCATCCCTCCGAGTGATGACAGGTTTCATAGATGATAGCACTCCAGTCCTTCATGCCTTATATGAGTCAGTCAATCTGAAGCCAATATACTGCATATGACCAAGAATTCTGCAATGGGAATAAACTCCAGTTGTCCATAGTGGTAAATTGCTTGGTAACTTTATATATATATTTTTATTTTTATTATTGTTATTACCTTTTTAGAGGCAGGGTCTCCCTTTGTCACCCAGGCTGGAGAGCAATAGTGAAATCATAGCTCACTGCAACCTTAAACTCTTGGGCTCAAGCAATCTCCCCACCTGAACCTCCCCACTAGCTGGGGACCACTGATGTTCACCACCATGCCTGGCTAATTAAAAAAAAAAAAATTTAGAGATGGGATCTTGCCATGTTGCCCAGGCTGGTCTCAAACTTCTGGCCTCAAGTGATTCTCCCACCTTAGCCTCACAAAGTGCTAGGATTACAGGAGGTGTGAGCCACCACACCTGGCCTACTTGTTAACTTTTGTTTTTTGCTTTTTTGAGATAGAGTTTCACTCTTGTCGTCCAGGCTGGAGTGCAATGGTGGGATCTCTGCTCACCGAAACCTCTGCCTCCCGAGTTCAAGCAATTCTCCTGTCTCAGCCTCCCAAGTAGCTGGGATTACAGGCATGCGCCACCATGCCCAGTTAATTTTATATTTTTAGTAGAGACAGGATTTCACCATGTTGGTCAGGCTGGTCTCAAACTCCCGACCTCAGGTGATTCACACACCTTGGCCTCCCAAAGGGCTCGGATTACAGGCGTGAGCCACAGTAACTTGAACTTGGTAACTTTATTGGCCTCCTTTTCAATCTCACTTTACTTCGCTATCAATGGCTTTTTTTTTTTTTCTGGGATCACTTTACTAATGAACTATTTTAATTGTGTCTTGCCATCTACTTTTAATGGAATCCAGAAATGTCTATCATTGTAAACTCAGGCTAAATGTATGGACATCACGTCTTGTGTCATGTGTCTCTGACACAGACAGGCCACAGGGACACCTAATTACAAGAAGGAACTCCAAAAATTATTTTTGCAAACCTATCTTTTATCCCACAATTCTTTTTCTTAGTGTTACTTTTTTTTTTCTTTCTTGGAATCAATAGCAAAAATGCAGGATGGAAGAATGTTAGAGTTTTCAAGTCAATACTAGTTTCTAAACAGCATCAATTTGGATTATGTTTTCACTGTCAGCCTCAAATCTGAGAGGGAAGACCAGAAGCATGAGATAAATACACCACTCATCCCCTCATTTTATCACCTTTTCTTTAATTTTTTTAAAGAATTTTCTTCCCTTTCCGTTTTTTTTTTTTTGCTTATTCAAAAGTGCCTGTGCTTTCAGGAGCATCTCAAACAGCAATATTCCGTAGAAATATAATGTGAGCTACATATGGGATTTAAAATTTTCTAGCAGCTGCATTTTAAAAATAAAAAGGTAAAATTAATATTAACGTGTTTAATTTAACCCAACATAATCAAAGATTGTCATATTAACACACAATGTAAATATAGGTATTTACATTCTTTTTGATGTCATTCAAGCCTGCTGTTCATTTTTCACTTATAGTGCATCTCAATTTGGATTAGCTGTGGGTCAGATGCTTCATAGCTACTGTAGCTAATTGCTGCCCTATTGGACAGCACGGCTCTAGAACACTTCTGCGAAACTACCAGAACCTTCTTCATTATCTCTTACTGTGCTTATTTTTTTTCTAAGCATGTATTGTCTCCCAAGAGAATGATAGCAGCAATAAATATGATACCTCTCTATAGGAGGCTTATGAAGAATGCTCACATAAATTACCTAGGAGAGGTACCAGGCTTCACTCTCCTATTTTATTCTCCACTGAGCTGTACAATTAGTGGGTGTTCAAGAAACACTTGATGAAAAAATTAAGTGATGCATTTCAGCAGACAGACTGGTATGCATGGAGACGAGTGAGATGATCTAAACATGCCTTGCTGACAATAAGATAATAGCCCGCCTGAATAGGGCTGTAGAAAAGCACTTTTGATTTAACTAAAGGAATAAAGAGAAAAATAACTTATTTTTGTCTAGTGGTTTGCATTTCCTGTGCAGGATATATAGCTATAGATATAGATATAGATACAGATACAGATACAGATACAGATACAGATACAGATACAGATATAGATATAGACAGATATCAGAAACATAAAGAACACACCTGAATGTGGATTTCCATGAATGTCGGGGATTCACTGGGGGATCTCTTTGTATTTTCATATATTTTCCTTTGGACCAAGGAAAGGTAGATTATGAGGCTGAATGGGGGTTTTTATTGACATGGTGCCCTCTCCTATGACTCTGGATATGTGTATATATATATCCGTATATATACACACACACATACATATATATTTGGTGACACATATATATGTATACATATGCGTGTACACACACACATATATGTGTATATATGCGTATATACACACGCGTATATGTGTATATATGCGTATATACACACGCGTATATGTGTATATATGCGTATATACACACGAGTATATGTGTATATATGTATAGACAGAGAGAGAGAAGTTAAGAGCAATATATGTTTTTCTACATTCATAATTAAGGACACTGACTGAGTTTCAGGGAGTTAAAATGACTTATTCAAGATCCCAGAGCTGGTCAACAGTGGAGGCAAAACTAAGATCTGACTTCTGCCCTATTCTGCCCACCCTCTTGCACCCCTGTTTTAAAAACAAATAGTACATCACCATTACGCCTTTTTAAGGATGTTTCATATGGCCAGCAATTTAAAGTACATGGGTCATATTTTTTAATAGAGCAAAGTGAATGACATCAAGAATACACACAAACTCTCCATATATTTCCAATCAGTGGATCTAAGACCTATAAAATTGTTCTTTTTTGTATTAGTCTGAAACGTATGGAAAGGAAATTCTTTAGGGAAACATTAACATCCTTTGCTTCTATCATCTAGCACTTCCTCTAGAATTAAGCAAACAACAACACAAACACACTGGCGTGCGCGCGCACACACACACACACACACCACAAACAAAACCAATACATTGTCTGGCCTTACTTACTCATCTTAGTTAAAGAGCAGTGCTTGCTTAATTGCTATTCTGAAGCAAAAAATGTGGACGTTTCTGGTACTGTGATTACTTCAGCTGTAGTTCAAGAAGCACTGAAATTGTTACCCTGAATCTTCACGTCCACATTTTTGCATGTTGTAATTTTAGAGCCACTCAAATTCTCTAATGATCTGATAATGTAGTGTAGTTCACATGTAAATATCAGGTTGCCAGAGCAGAAACTCTACTGTTGAAAAATTATATACCAACAGAACAATTATAACATTTCTATGGAAGAAAGGCCCACATTTTATTTCTAAATTACCCTTGCAACATTTCTTAAATATTACTTGTTAAGTAAGCAATGCACATTATGATAACACACATGCATATATTCAAATAAACATTTACCAGTGGCATATCTCTGAACAAAAGTAAACCTTCAACAATTTGTTGTTGTCAAAGTTTGCTTCCTTATAATCTGGCATTAATTGAATCATGAATCTTTTAATGTACAAGCTGCTATAATTCATTGGTATCGGATTCATTTAAAATTGTCTTGCAAAAAAAGGAAGGAAATAAATTAGCAATAAATATAATCTATGTCTGTGTTCACTAATCAACTGCTATGGCTAGGTGTGAACTTTTACATAAGTTATTTCCTCCTAATTAGAAAAGGAGAGTGGAGAGAGAGAGAGAGAGAGAGAGAGAGAGAGAGAATTAGGAAGAAAAATAATTTCTAACATATAATTTGTCTATTGAAAAGCTGGTAACAGAGTACAAGTATAGCTTACTTTATTTTTATAGGATAATACCAGTAATGATATTCTTTACCTTTTATTTTATTTTTCTTGTCTCCCTCCTACTGTGGTATGTTTAGTTAGAAAATAAATTGGTTTAAAACTTCTGAACTTTGCATTAGAGTTATACTGAAGGCAACAACTCCAATGGGCAAACAGACGTGACTGTGCTTTGCCATTATCCTGTCATCAAAAAATAAAAACTCCACTCCTTTTTATTCATCATTCAGTCATGACAATGGGATTGTGGGAACGAGGCAGCTCCATTTACTGATCTTGCATGTAGCTGCTGCTGTCGTTGCAAACAAGGGAGAAGAGCGTGCTGATAAAGCCCTGCTGTTGTCTATGGGTAACATTCTTGTTCTACAGATGCCATAATGATGGTAGGATGTTCTTTATTTTAGTGGAATTAAATAACACTTTCTATGTCAAAGGGAAAAGGTGAAGTCATCCATGGGGTGAATCACCAAAATCCTAGAAAGAAGCGTGCCTCTCAGAGGAGAGGTGGCTTGCGGTGTGGGAATTGTCCTTAATTGACCTAGGCCGGGCGCGGTGGCTCATGCCTGTAATCCCAGCACTTTGGGAGGCAGAGGCAGGCAGATCATGAGGTCAGGAGTTCGAGACCAGCTTGACCAACATGGTGAAACCCCATCTCTACTAAAAATACAAAAAAATTAGTCAGGTGTGGTGGCGCACGCCTGTAACCCCAGCTACTCGGGAGGCTGAGGCAGGAGAATAACTTGAACCCAGGAGGTGGAGGTTACAGTGAGCTGAAATTGCACCACTGCCCTCCAGGATGGGCGACAGAGTGAGACTCCATCTCAAAAACAACAACAACAACAACAAAAAACAGTGACCTAAACATGAATGGAGTAATTCACAATTATTTTATTTTACAAATATTTACAAAGATATAGTGTGACAAGTAGTTCGTACTTGAACCTGGGCCTTAAAGAAAGCTGTTTTGGGGGCCAGTTGGGGTTTGTGATTTCAATCACAGCAGAAAAGCTCAGAGGAAGCAAACTGAAGGGAAAGGAATTCTGGGTCATGTGGCCCTGCCCCCCTGCCAGCCTGCAGTGTCCTCGCTCCCCTGCCAGCCTGCAGTGTCCTTGCCCCCTGCCAGCCTGCAATGTCCTCTTTATGCTAAACTCTTAGAGGCTTTGGCTGTGTTGCTGTTTTATAGGTAAGGCATATCTCTCATAAAAATAAATGGCAGACTGAAGGGACTGTTGGTGTTCATTTGAAAAGAACACAATATACTACCAAGTATTCTTGGGATAAGTGTAACTTCCCTGTGTTCATGATGTAATCTTCTAGAAAATTAGTTATCACGTGGTATTTGGTTTTCTGTCACTGCATTAGTTTGCTAAGGACAGTGGCCTCCAGCTCCATCCATGTCCCTGCAAAGGACACGTTCTCATTCCTTTTTATGGCTGCATAGTATTCCATGGTGTATATGCAACCACATTTTCTTTATCCAGTCTATCACCGGTGGGCATTTAGGTTGATTCCCTGTCTTTGCTATTGTGCATAGTGCTGCAGTGATCATATGCATGCATGTGTCTTTGTAATAGAATGATTTCTATTCCTTTGGGTATATACCCAGTAATGGGATTGCTGGGTCAAATGGTATTTCTTTCTTTAGGTCTCTGAAGAATCTCCACTCTTATAACTGGGAGGTAAATGATGAGAACACAGGGACACATAGAAGGGAACAACACACACTGGGGCCTATTGGAGGTTGGAGGCTGAGAGGAGGGAGAGGATCAGAAAAAATAACTAATGGGTACTAGGCTTAATACCTGGGTGATAAAATAATCTGTAAAACCAATACCCATGACACAGGTTTGCCTATGTAACAAACCTTCACCTGCACCCCTGAACTTAAAATAATGTTTTAAAAATTAGTGGTCATTAAAACAACTCTATATGTTGCTATAGAAATTCTCAGAAAAGAAACATTTAACCTTTGCATTTATTTTTGAGGAGTGGAGCAATGTATGCCTTCTCCCTATCTGATTATTTCCTCTTGGACGTATTTCTCATGATAGCTATAGAGCCAAACTAGCAGACGGATTTTCTTTAGAAAGGTTCCTATATGACAATCCCCTGTTCTGTGAAGCATTATCATTTCCACTTCCTACATAGCCTCCCAGTTGGGTTTGTTTTTATTCAGAGGCACCCGATCAGCTTTCTAGAGGTAGCATGTAAGTGATTTGGAATGTTTCTACCCTCATGTTTGTCCCTAAACTGACGGATTTCCCTCCTTTGGTTAATGGAAAATGGATCCAGAGTTCATGAGCTAATTTGAATTTTTCCTTTTTCCTTTCACATCCATGTTTTAAGTCTGTGGAGGAACTGAAGGCTCATGGCCAAATGTCAGCACTATTTCAGTGAATAAGAGTGTTTAGTGAAACTATTCCAAACAGCCTATTTCTTTGCCAACCCAATAAAGCATCAAAAAGGCCTCTGGTAGCTATAGCAACATAACCACAAGCTGCTCAATTTTCAACACTATTTTTTATATCCCATTCCCCCTCCATTTTGCAGAAAATCAGAAGCTAATGGGACGCAGCTGCCTTCACTTTGGTTTGCTTAGAAAGCTAAATTTAAATTGTGTCTTGCTTTATTCATTTAATTAATAGTGCATCAGGTTTCAACATACAAGCACAATGTATCTGAAGCCCTAAGATTCATGGAAAACACGCAACAGAAGAATTTTACTATAAGACATGCAGGCAAAAGATATCCAACTAGCACTTTGAATTAGTTCATTAAAAATCACTCACAAATAAAACACCTTAATGTATAACAGATGACGTGGCATTAGTTGAATAGTGATTAAGATCTAACTAGGCAGCAGTTAACAAGAGAAAATCACATTGATAAAACAGGTAGTTGGGCATGAAGATACTGAAATCAGCTGTCTGGTCTCATATTATAATTTGCTAACTGTAACTATTGTTCCTTATGTCAAAGTAACAGGTTAAATAGTGTTATATCTATCTATCTGTCTATCTATTATCTATCTATATCTATCTATCTATCTATCAAATCTCTCTGTATAGTAGCATTCCTCTTTAACTCTCAAATTCAGTGTGAAAGATCCATTTACTTTAGGAACCACTTTAGTACAGAAAATCTATAGAGTTCATAAATTCAAGATTTGGAGTTTTGAATATCTATTGCTTTTGATTTATGTGGCATTTATTATTAGCTGTATTTATCATCATCAAAAGGACTGTATCTAAGACACCTAACTCTGGCAAGAACTGTGCACCAAGTAAAAACTCATTTTCTCTAATCATACAATCATTCTTTTATGTTTCGTTTGCTCATCTACCTACTCAAATAGTTATTGAGCAGTTATTAGGTGTGCAGCTAGATATTGCAGATATGGGCATGCCATAAAATACAAGTTCTATATGTAGACATGTAAAAATAATTGAATAGAGTTTGATAGGTGTTACAAAATATGTTATGCAAAGTATATAATGCAGATGGACCATATTTTGAGAATACATATTTTGCGAATTATAGGGAAGGAAATGAGCAACTTCCCCTGTGAAGGAAAGGGCAGATGAGGAGACGTACTTTAGAGGTATTGATGTTGAAACTGCACCTGAAGCAAGAGTAACAGCTCTTTGGTTGTGCAGCAGTTGCAAAGTGACAGTGGCATAAAACATGTTAAAAGTGAGAAATTGCAGATTGTGTCTTTGGGGTTGTCCTAAACCCCCATTAATGTCAAAGGATGCCCTATTGTCTGAAAATCTGAAAGGGGTTTTGATCTGAAGAAATTTCCAGGAATTGGGTGCACATCTGTTCAGCAATCCTAATTTGAAAAAGAAACTAATAATTATGATGCATCCTGCATGTATCAGAACAACGCTAAACCCTTTAACAATAACTATGCCTTATCTCAACAGCATTATTTTTAGCTTCATTTGACTTGTAAGGAAGCTGAGATTCCTTACCTCAAACAAAAGGTTAGGGAAATTGTTCAAACTTTGCAAGGGGCAGAGACAGTGTTTACAATTGTTCAAACTTTGCAAGGGGCAGAGACAGGCATGTCTACCTGTCTTCAAAATGAATGCTCTCCAAACAATCATTCCAATGAAGCGGTGTCATTGCCTGGGACAAATACTTGAGGCTCGTTGTCTTATGCCAAGGAAATCGAGGATGCAGACACAAAAGAAGTGAGTTTTGGTGTGGAGGTTTAATAGGTGAGCGAAAAGCAAAAAGCTCTCTCTGCTACAGAGAGGGAGGGGATTCACATAGGGTCTTCTGGTTCCGTGGTGAAATGCACGGGGAGTTTTATAGACCAGCTTGAGGAGATGGTATCTGATTTACTTAGAGCCTAAAAGATTGGTCAGACCAGGTGTCATTTACGTAGCACACAAAGAGGCTGGCCATCTCACCCTAATCTTTTATCATGCAGATAGAGTCTCTACCTGGCCATTGTCATGGTGCCTGCCTTTTTATTGCACACATAGTGACAAAAAAAAGGGAAGAGGGAACCTCCATGTTGAATATACCTGGCTTCCAGGTGTCCCTTTTCTATTGTCACAGCTCTGGCATTTGCCTATGCAAGCTTCCAGCTTGCTTACCTATGTCTGCAGCTCAATTTTACAGCCTGCTATCTGTTAGAAAGGAAATGATTTGGGGGCTGCTTTTTATTAAAAAGAAACCTTATCGAGGACTCTCTTACCCTCACTATCAACCTAAATAATTTCTTTTTTAGCTCCTGTATCAACAAAGCCAATGTCCTAAAGATCAGAGCTTTAGACACAAAGGAAGGCCAATGAATAAGAAGAAATCAGTGGGAAAGGGATTAAGAATAGCAGTCCCACCTTGATGGCACTCTCAGGCAAGAGGCCCTCTCTTTCTGATGCTGTCAGGTAAGAAATATACAGAAAGGCCGTGAGACAAAGACCTCTCTATTGACAGGCTATTTGATAAGCTCAGGCTTAAAAAAAAAAATGTGTTTTTCTTTGTGGTTTTAACCTTGACCAAGTTAACCGATTCATTATATGTGGGTCCTGCAATGCACTGTGCCTTTGAACCCACTTCCGTTCAACATTCTAGTAACATTGTGGCAAAGGAACTGGTCCCCTAGCTCCTGTACCATCCTGTAATCATGGCTATTTTGGAACCATAGGGGCAGAAAGGAGGTGAGCCCTTTCCTCCTCATCATAAGAGTCACAGATGATACCCCTATAACAAAAACAGGTTAACAAGAGAAAAGCATAACAAATGTATTTGATCATAATTTTATGTGACATGAGAGCCTTTGGAATGAAGAGAACCAAGGATATAGACAAAACTGTCAATTTGTATGTTTAGGTTCAGTGAAGAAAGGACATCCATATCCATGTAGAAATGTGATTGAACTAAAGGGGTATGGATGATCTAATGCAGTAGACGGAAGGGAGTAACCCAGCAGGGACTGCCTGTCTAGATTCTTCTTGGCCTCTCTGAGCAGCATTCCTTCCTCCTGGGTATGGGGCAGGATCCCTCTGGAATAAGTCAAATAATTTCTTTATGGCCAGCTCTTAGGTAGAAATGCAGGGAAAGGTTCAAGTAATATTTCTGGGTTTTGTGGCTGGCTTCGGGAAGGAGGAATTCCAGTTACTACTAATATGATCCACCTTGGGGAAGAGAGATTCTAGTTTCTAGGGCATACAGGGAGTTTCAATATGATTTTCAGAACTTGGACACTTAGAGGAACATTTATACAAGCCCACTTGGTTTTAATCTTGAATCTGAAGTGGTGGATTAAGACACAGGAAGATTGCAAGGTTCAGACATCAGGCAGCCATTGCATGGAGTCTAGAAGAAGACAGATGTTGGAATCCAGGAACGTTTCCTGCCTGAGAGCCTGGAAAGGGGTCCTCTAATGTAGCCACCATTTGCAGGTATGAAAGGCAAGCAGCTGATTTGTATCAGTCAACAAGCAGAGGGGCCATAGCATGAGTTTGGGTTTTATGGATGGGATACCTGTTCTCAGAGGCAAAACAGAGAAAGAGCTAAGGACAACAAGACTGAGTTATTAGAAGGCCACCCCTAGCAGTATTGGCATAGTAAGCCAGTTTCCGAGATAGGCACTCAGGCTTCGGATAACAGAATAGGAATACAGTTAAGTGGCTTGAGGTAATGGGTGAAAATTAAGGTCTTATGAACAACAATTATGGTCTTAGGAAGAGACCAGATTCCAGGTGTGTAAGGCTCTGTATAAGCTGGCTCTAAGTCCAGGAATGCCTGCTAACAGTATGTGGTAGCAAGATACTTCAGAATACCATATATGTTTCTTTTTTCTGGCTACTGGGAGAACTGGCTTCCACTCAAGCCTCCTCGGTGGTATAGATAGCAGTGAGCCAAGTGTTCTGAGGTTCCTTTTACTTGGTAGATCCCTAACTCCGTGTAGAATCAGTTGATGACTGAAATTCAGGACTGGCTTCGTATAGGACTAAGAAAGCAGGGCCAGGCATGGTGGCTCATGCCTGTAATCCCAGCACATTGGAGGCCAAGGCAGGCGGATCACCTGAGGTCAGGAGTTCGAGATCAGCCTGGCCAACCTGGTAAAACCCGATCTCTATTAAAAATACAAAAATTAGCCAGCATGGTGGTGCGTGCCTGTAGTCCCACCTACTCAGGAGGCTGAGACATGAGAGTCACTTGAACCCAGGAGGAGGAGGTTGCAGTGAGATGAGATTGTGCCACTGCACTCCAGCCTGGGCGACAGAGCAAGACTCCATCTCAAAAAACAGAACAAAACAAAACAAAAAAAGAAAACAGTGGTGTGGGGCATGTCCACTGACTTAGATCTTTCTTCTGATCCATATCCTGAAAGCACTTAGTTGCTGGGTTAAGGATCAATTAAGTGAGGAGCCCTCACCCTGCCTGCCATGTCATTCTCACGGATGCTTGATCTTCATCGGGGCTTTGATATGAGGTCACTGGTAAGAAAACCAGTGCTACCTATATATTTCCTGCCTCAAGACAAAACTAGTCCTAGATTCTGGAAATTAGAAGGGCGGATCCAGTAGGTCTAATTTTCAAAGGTAAGAGGAATGCAGCAGTATGACACCAAACAGATTATAAAACCTTCATCAGGACAAAATAAATGCTTCTGACATTTTTATCGTGTTTTCTTCTCCAAGGTTATGACATCCTATGCTGCTGGGATTTTGTTTTGTTGGATCTTGTGTTTTTCTTTGTATTTTTCCCTTTGGTTTGAATGTTCATTGAAAATAAAACTTGCAACATTTTCAGCTCCATAAACCTTCCTTCTTAGATGTGTGTCTGGGAATAAAATGATTTATCTAAAGTTATTTGATTCTTTGGTCACACACATTGGCAACTTCCCATCAAGTAGTTTATATGTTGTTATGTGAAACAGAAGAGGCCCCGTGATACTCATATTTAGATACCTTTCAGCATTTGAAATTGATTTTGTCATGACTAAAATAATCTAATTATTTTGAGTGTCTTAAAAATAGAGTGCAGATTCGTGTATGATGCATATTTCAAAAATGATATTTGATGTCTTTTCTATCCTTTTTTTGAAAGGAGCATAGAGAGACTGGGGCATAGGGTCATTCAAATGGACTGATACCAGAAAAGGGGGAAAGATGTGGTTTCTTCAAGGAAGTGACTCCTCAGAGCATCCAGAAGAGAAAGACGAGAGAAGAAGGTCAGAATCAAAGAAATCAAATCTGTTATTAGGTCCAGCAGAAGAGCTCCTGACAACAGAATCTGATACCAAAAGATGAGAAACTGGGTTAATGGTGACCAGAGCAAGAAGCAAGAAACAGAAACAAGAATGAAATAAGAGTGTCCAGCATTCTCAGAGATTCCCTTTCATAGGTGAAACTTGCTTGGTGCTTGTATGCCTAATTTTAAAGCCAGGGAAGCCAGTTTTCTCACATTTATAATGTAAATGTGATAGTATTTTTGCCTTGTGATTAGATTTCAGGTAAGCATGAAAACGTAGTCATGAATTAGTGTCTTTCTTTTCTCCTTCCTAATAACATGACTTTCTCACTATTTGTTTTACTGAATTAAGTTTTCTAAACTTAGCAAAACCAAGAAACTTCTAGTTCAGATTTCACTTACATTTTCTTTTAATACAACCATCAGAGCAATTTCCAAGAAGCATAATCTGACTTAATGATATTATAATAGTTAGCAAAATATCTAGATATTAGGCACAGAAAACAGGCTCATTGAATAAACAAATGAACTTGCAACTATATCAGGTTTTAAGTGACTTAAACGGTAGTCAGAGATTTGGCTTCATTAGGCAGATACAGTGTTTATGTGCTACATAGCTCTTGCTTTTATTTGTAAGTCTGTTGAATCAACAAATGTGCTGAAGAAGAGAATAAATATATTGAAATAAATTAATGACTAGGGTCAAACCATTCCATCATTCAAAAGCACACAAAACTAAAATAGATGCAACACCTATTAGGTGCCCACTGTGTGTCAGTTTATGCCTGAATATGTGTGTTAACACTTATATCTCACAACCCTGAGGTAATTGTTATGATATTATTTTCATGTTATGGATGAGGAAATTAAAATGGTGACACAGAGCAGTGAGGCCACCTGCCTTACCAACTAGCACGTGGCAGGAGCAGGTTAGAGTTCCCGTTCCCACGTCTCCTCCCCTCTGTGATGCTGCAGATGTGGGCTGCCCCTGTCCGGAGTCTGTTTCAACCCAGAGCCGAACAGAAGCCAATCCCAGTGCCAGGATGCAGACCTCCAAAATGGCTTCCAGCTCTAGAAACACTAACGAACCATATAGAATTTGCTGAAGATTTAGAAGGCAAGGTGGAGGCGAGGCTTTGTTTTTTTATTTTTATTTTTTCCCTCACAGCAAATTACCTTGCAAACCTCCTTGGATGCCTTTCTTCATCCAAGGATCTGGCCACGTTGCTGAACTGATTGGAGCAAGAAGCTGAGTCATGGTTTTCCCTTCCCCTTTTGAGTTCCTGCCTCACGTCACTGACAAGTGCAGCTCCCAGATCCAATCCCGCTCCAAGCTCTCCCAATTTACCATTTTCTCACATGGGGGCATTGCACTCTATCCCAACTCCTCCAATCTTGCTTGGGCCCTCAAAATGGGCCTTTAGTTACTGGAAGCCACTGTCCTCTAAGGATGGTAATATGTTATTTTAAAGAAGAAAGAAGGAAGGAAGAGAGGGAGGGAGGGAGGGAGGAAAGAGGGAAGGAAGGAAGGAAGGAAGGAAGGAAGGAAGGAAGGAAGGAAGGGGAGTGGACGGGAGGGGAGGGGAGAGGGGAGGGAGGGAGGGAAGGAAGGGAGGAGGAAAGAAAGAAGGGAGGAGGAAAGAAAGGAAGGAGAAGGAGGAAAGGAAGAAATGAAGCAAGGAAGAAAGGAAGGTGAAAGCGAAAGAAAGGAAAGAGAGAAAGAAAAAGAGAGAGAATGAAAGAGGTTTTTTTTTTCTGATACTAATAAGTACTACTTATGCCAAATCAAACAATGCATAAAGGCCCTAAATTATTTCATATAAATTTGGGGGCTGGGGAGGTGATTGTAAAGAAACGAACACAAGGCATATTTTCTGCATTGTTAAAGTGAATGCCATTGGAAAGGCAGATATAAACCCCTTTTAAAAAGCGCTGAAGGAAGAAATTTCCCTGACACACCAGCAGGCCTCTGTGAGCTCATAGGGTTCTTCCTTAATTGGCTCGGCCAAGAAGCCACTTGCAAATGCAGAGCAGGGTCAGACAGACTCACGTTGGACCTTAGTCATTTTGCAGTGACTTGATCAGGGAAGGAAATCCTAGCATAACTAGCTCATTTCTGAGAGAGACACAGTGGTCCTAACTCCTTAAATGATTTTTGGAGCGTTCAGCAAGGCAAACAGGACGTAGGATTACACATTTCTAAACAGTCATCCTATTTGCTGTCACTGTGTGATGGCAGGACATCAAGCTGAATTTACTTTGGCTCAACCAAAGTATCAAAGGATTCCAGAGGAGGAGGCCAAGTAGGCCATGGCAATGGCTTCATTAGCAAGTTTAGGTAGCTGCTCATGTGTGATTGAATCCTGTCTCAGGATAGATATAGATTAAATATGAAATCAGGTCTACAGGCTTAGGTTAAAGCCAGCACCCTCGGAGTAACTACATGGGATATCAGAAGGGGGCAAAGCCAATGCCCATTTCTATACACAAAGCTGTTATAAGAAGGGAGACGGGGTCTGTTGAGACATTGCCTTACCTGCTATTTCAGTCAAGTCCTGCAAGGAGGCAGTGACCACAAAGTCATTTGTACAGGAGAGGTTTGACATGAAGAACTGTTAACTATTTAGAGGAATTACCAAATGGAAATAACAGAGAATGCCTAAGACTAGCCTACAGTTGAGAGAGAATGCCTGTTAAGGACTGAATTGTGTCTTCCCAGTAGGCATATGTTGAAGCCCCAGCCCCCTCAACGTGACTGTATTTGGAGACAGGACCTCTATGGAGGCCAGTAAGTTTACTTTTTATTTTATTATTATTTTATTTATTTCATTTTGCTGAGACAGAGTTTTGCTCTGTCGCCCAGGCTGGAATGCAATGGGGCGATCTCGCCTCACTGCAACCTCCCCCTCCTGGGTTCAAGTGATTCTCCTGCCTCAGTCTCCCAAGTAGCTGGGATGACAGGTGCCTGCCACCATGCCTGGCTAATTTTTTTTTTATTTTTAGTAGGCACGGGGTTTCACCACGTTGGCCAGGCTGGTCTCGAACTTCTGACCTCAGGTGATCCACCCACCTCAGCCTCCCAAAGTGCTGGGATTACAGGTGTAAGCCACTGTGCCCAGCCGAGGCCAGGAAGTTTCAATGGATTCATAAGGGAAGGGCCTTAATCCAGTATGACTGGTGTGCTATCCTTATAGGAAGAGGAGCTTAGGACACAGAACACATGCACAGGAGGAAGGCCCTGGGAGAACACAGAGAGAAGGAAGTCATCTGCAAGTCAGGGAGAAAGCTGTTCTCAGAAACTAAGTTTACTGGCACCTTGTTCATGGGCTTTTGGCCTCCAGAACCACGAGAAAATAAATGTATGTTGTTGAAGCCACCTTGTCTGTGGAATTTTGCTATGGCAGCTCAAGCCAACTAAGAGAGTTTCCATGGAAAGAATAAACAGGAAAAGCGAGCATCCCCCACCCCCATGACTGGGAACGCCCAGGAGAGAAGGTGTGCGGCCCACTGAACATGAAGGAGTTTGCTGGGTTGTTCTGGGTCACAGCTGGTACTTATTTGATGGCCAAGGCTGGTGGTGGTCAGAGAACAGCCAGTAACATTCACCAGGGGCCACTGGGAAGGGCGAATTACTGTTGCAATTCTTGGGAAATTGGCTGGGTCATCTGTACAACTTACTGGGAAGGCACCATGGGCATCCCCTGGGAAACCACCAATAGGGGCATCTGTGGAACGTGTGAAGCCACTAACAGTTCCACTGAAGCCACTAACAACAGTTCCACTGAAGTCACTAACAACAGTTCCACTGAAGCCACTAACAGTTCCACTGATGCCAAACGCAGAGAGCTCCACAGGCATCCTGTGCACCAGCTCAGCACCACAGAGCAAGGAGAAAGAAAAGCACGGGTAAACCAGAAGCCCCTTTCTCCTCAGTATCCTTCCAACACCCTCCATGGCATCCTGCCAGCTGTCAAGGGAGAAAGCTTCTGATATTGCCAGCAGACAATCAAGGGTGGATGAGGAGCCAAGGAGCAATACACTGATAACAGGCACACCTTCTGTAAATCTCATGAAAAGATCATTTTCTTACTTACATTCAGGTAGCATGTTCCAGATTCTGGACAGATTATTTTCATCATACACATAGATGCACCTGTTCCTTCAATGGACTGCCCTGACCCAGTGGGTGTGTCAGAATGTAAGCTCCACCATTCCCCAAATTAAGTAGATGATCTTCAGCTCTGCCCACAGCTATGCAGGAGGCTCCACACTAGATAATCCCAGGGGTATTTATTCTGTCTCTCAAGCTTCTGGAAAATTTTCTCAGCCTTGATCTACCCTCTACTCCACTAGAGATTTAATCTGGAAATTTATAACTGAAATATTTTCATAGTTTTTCAAGGCCCTAACATCGTTTTATATACATACATGTGTGCATGTGCATGCACACACACATACACCACTTTTAAATTTAGCTTCTCCTTTCCTGCTCAATAATCCAAATGATTTGGGACATAAGAAAAGCTCCAGCACAAAGCACCTCTGCTTTGTTTTTAATTTTAATTTTTATTTCAATAGTTTTTGGAATACAAGTGCTTTTTGGTTTCAGGGATAAGTTCTTCAGTGGGGATGTCTGAGATTTTAGTGCACTGGTCACCCGAGCAGTGTACATTATGCCCAATATGTAGTCTTTTATCCCTCATTCCCCTCCACATCTTCCCCCCAGAATCTCCAAAGTCCATTATATCATTCTTACGCTTTTTCATCCTCATAGCTTAGCTTCCACTTATAAGTCAAAACATATGATGTTTGCTTTTCCATTCGTGAGTTACTTCACTTAGAATAATACCTCCAGCTCCATCCAAGTTGCTGCAAAAGACATTATTTCATTCCTTTTTTTGGCTGAGTAGTATTCCATGGCATATATATTCCACATTTTCTTTAACCATTCATTGGTTGAAGGGCACTAAGGTTGGTTCCATATTTTTGCAATCTATAATGCCTGTTTAAATTTTCTTCCTTGGTGATTGTTCATAGGTATCGGTCACCAACCCATCTCAAGTTCTATCATTGCTGAAAGTCTGTCTTCGTAGATAACCTTCAGTTTATCTACCAGGTTATATATATTGGGGGCCTCAGAATGACATGTATCTCTTCTTTGACAATATCACTTAAGGCCATCCTTTCTTTCCAAACTTTTGATGACTATGTCAGAAATAAAATATTCTTAATAGTCATCTTACTCATAAAAGGAAGAAACCTTGGTTCCCATCACCATAAATGTCTCTTACCTCTTTGCCAGCATTCATGAAATGTAAACATAATTGATGTTTTTTTTTTTTTTTTTTGAGACGGAGTCTCGCTCTGTCGCCCAGGCCGGACTGCGGACTGCAGTGGCGCAATCTCGGCTCACTGCAAGCTCCGCTTCCCGGGTTCACGCCATTCTCCTGCCTCAGCCTCCCGAGTAGCTGGGACTACAGGCGCCCGCCACCGCGCCGGGCTAATTTTTTGTATTTTTAGTAGAGACGGGGTTTCACCTTGTTAGCCAGGATGGTCTCGATCTCCTGACCTCATGATCCACCCGCCTCGGCCTCCCAAAGTGCTGGGATTACAGGCGTGAGCCACCGCGCCCGGCCATAATTGATGTTTTAAGTTAATTATGTTAATTAACATGTTGTGAATGCAACTTTCCTTTTATATTTTTGTGGTTAATTTAGTCTTTGGTGGTTAAAAACACAGGCAAAACAGATAGATGGAACACATTAAATCATCCAGGCTGGAGTAAAGATGGCCGAATAGGAACAGCTCCAGTCTATAGCTACCAGCATGAGTGACGCAGAAGATGGGTGATTTCTACATTTCCACCTGAGGTACCAGGTTCATCTCACTAGGGAGTGCCAGACAGTGGGCGCAGGACAGTGGGTGCAGCACACCGTGCACAAGCCGAAGCAGGGCGAGGCATTGCCTCATTCAGGAAGCGCAAGGGGTCAGGGAGTTCCCTTTCCTAGTCAAAGAAAGGGGTGACAGACGGCACCTGGAAAATCGGGTCACTCCCACCCTAATACTGCGCTTTTCCGATGGGCTTAAAAAATGGCGCACCAGGAGATTATATCCCGCACGTGGCTCACAGGGTCCTACGCCAACGGAGTCTCGCTGATTGCTAGCACAGCAGTCTGAGATCAAACTGCAAGGCGGCAGCGAGGCTGGGGGAGGGGTGCCTGCCATTGCCCAGACTTGCTTAGGTAAAAAAAAGCAGCCAGGAAGCTTGAACTGGGTGGAGCCCACCACAGCTCAAGGAGGCCTGCCTGCCTCTGTAGGCTCCACCTCTGGGAGGAGGGCACAGACAAACAAAAAGACAGCAGTAACCTCTGCAGACTTAAATGTCCCTGTCTGACAGCTTTGAAGAGAGCAGTGGTTCTCCCAGCACACAGCTGGAGATCTGAGAACGGGCAGACTGCCTCCTCAAGTGGGTCCCTGACCCCTGACCCCCGAGCAGCCTAACTGGGAGGCACCCCCCAGTAGGGGCAAATTGACACCTCACACGGCCGGGTACTCCTCTGAGACAAAACTTCCAGAGGAACGATCAGACAGCAGCATTCGCGGTTCACGAAAATCTGCTCTTCTGCAGCCACCGCTGCTGGTACCCAGGCAAACAGGCTCTGGAGTGGACCTCTAGCAAACTCCAACAGACCTGCAGCTGACGGTCCTGTCTGTTAGAAGGAAAACTAACAAACAGAAAGGCCATCCACACCAAAAACCCATCTGTACATCACCATCATCAAAGACCAAAAGTAGATAAAACCACAAAGATGGGGAAAAAACACAGCAGAAAAACTGGAAACTCTAAAAAGCAGAGCACTTCTCCTCCTCCAAAGGAACGCAGCTCCTCACCAGCAACGAAACAAAGCTGGACAGAGAATGACTTTGACGAGTTGAGAGAAGAAGGTTTCAGACGATCAAACTACTCCGAGCTACAGGAGGAAATTCAAACCAAAGGCAAAGAAGTTGAAAACTTTGAAAAAAATTTAGACAAATGTACAACTCGAATAACCAATACAGAGAAGTGCTTAAAGGAGCTGATGGAGCTGAAAGCCAAGGCTCGAGAACTACGTGAAGAATGCAGAAGCGTCAGGAGCCGATGTGATCAACTGGAAGAAAGGGTATCAGTGATGGAAGATGAAATGAATGAAATGAAGCCAGAAGGGAAGTTTAGAGAAAAAAGAATAAAAAGAAAGGAACAAAGTCTCCAAGAAATATGGGACTATGTGAAAAGACCAAATCTACGTCTGATTGGTGTACCTGAAAGTGACGGGGAGAATGGAACCAAGTTGGAAAACACTCTGCAGGATATTATCCAGGAGAACTTCCCCAATCTAGCAAGGCAGGCCAACATTCAGATTCAGGAAATACAGAGAACGCCACAAAGATATTCCTCGAGAAGAGCAACTCCAACACACATAATTGTCAGATTCACCAAAGTTGAAATGAAGGAAAAAATGTTAAGGGCAGCCAGAGAGAAAGGTCGGGTTACTCACAAAGGGAAGCCCATCAGACTAACAGCTGATCTCTCGGCAGAAATTCTACAAGCCAGAAGAGAGTGGAGTCCAATATTCAACATTCTTAAAGAAAAGAATTTTCAACCCAGAATTTCATATCCAGCCAAACTAAGCTTCATAAGTGAAGGAGAAATAAAATACTTTACAGACAAGCAAATGCTGAGAGATTTTGTCACCACCAGGCCTGCCCTAAAAGAGCTCCTGCAGGAAGCACTAAACATGGAAAGGAACAACCGGTACCAGCCACTGCAAAATCATGACAAATGGTAAAGACCATTGAGGCTTGGAAGAAACTGCATCAACTAACGAGCAAAATAACCAGCTAACATCATAATGACAGGATCAAATTCACACATAACAATATTAATTTTAAATGTAAATGGACTAAATGCTCCAATTAAAAGACACAGACTGGCAAATTGGATAAAGAGTCAAGACCCATCAGTGTGCTGTATTCAGGAAACCCATCTCACGTGCAGAGACACAAATAGGCTCAAAATAAAAGGATGGAGGAAGATCTACCAAGCAAATGGAAAACAAAAAAAGGCAGGAGTTGCAATCCTAGTCTCTGATAAAACAGACTTTAAACCAACAAAGATCAAAAGAGACAAAGAAGGCCATTACATAATGGTAAAGGGATCAATTCAACAAGAAGAGCTAACTATCCTAAATATATATGCACCCAATACATGAGCACCCAGATTCATAAAGCAAGTCCTGAGTGACCTACCGAGAGACTTCGACTCCCACACAATAATAATGGGAGACTTTAACACCCCACTGTCAACATTAGACAGATCAACGAGACAGAAAGGTAACAAGAATACCCAGGAATTGAACTCAGCTCTGCACCAAGCGGACCTAATAGACATCTACAGAACTCTCCACTCCAAATCAACAGAATATACATTTTTTTCAGCACCACACCACACCTATTCCAAAATTGACCACATAGTTGGAAGTAAAGCTCTCCTCAGCAAATGTAAAAACTCAGAAATTCCAACAAACTGTCTCTCAGAACACAGTGCAATCAAACTACAACTCAGGATGAAGAAACTCACTCAAAACCGCTCAATTACATGGAAACTGAACAACCTGCTCCTGAATGACTACTGGGTACATAACGAAATGAAGGCAGAAATAAAGATGTTCTTTGAAATCAATGAGAACAAAGACGCAACACACCAGAATCTCTGGGACACATTCAAAGCAGTGTGTAGAGGGAAATTTATAGCACTAAATGCCCACAAGAGAAAGCAGGAAAGATCCAAAATTGACACCCTAACATCACAATTAAAAGAACTAGAAAAGCAATAGCAAACACATTCAAAAGCTAGCAGAAGGCAAGAAATAACTAAAATCAGAGCAGAACTGAAGGAAATAGAGATACAAAAAACCCTTCAAAAAATTAATGAATCCAGGAGCTGGTTTTTTGAAAGGATCAACAAAATTGATAGACTGCTAGCAAGACTAATGAAGAAAAGAGAGAAGAATCAAATAGACGCAATAAAAAATGATAAAGGGGATATCACCACCGATCCCACAGAAATACAAACTACCATCAGAGAATACTACAAACACCTCTACGCAAATAAACTAGAAAATCTAGAAGAAATGGATAAATTCCTGGACACATACACTCTCCCAAGACTAAACCAGGAAGAAGTTGAATCTCTGAATAGACCAATAACAGGAGCTGAAATTGTGGCAATAATCAATAGCTACCAACCAAAAAGAGTACAGAACCAGATGGATTCACAGCTGAATTCTACCAGAGGTACAAGGAGGAACTGGTACCATTCCTTCTGAAACTATTCCAATCAACAGAAAAAGAGGGAATCTTCCCTAACTCATTTTATGAGGCCAGCATCATCCTGATACCAAAGCCTTGTAGAGACACAACCAAAAAAGAGAATTTTAGACCAATAACCCTGATGAACATTGATGCAAAAATCCTCAATAAAATACTGGCAAACTGAATCCAGCAGCACATCAAAAAGCTTATCCACCATGATCAAGTGGGCTTCATCCCTGGGATGCAAGGCTGGTTCAATATACGCAAATCAATAAACGTAATCCAGCATATAAACAGAGCCAAAGACAAAAACCACATGATTATCTCAATAGATGCAGAAAAGGCCTTTGACAAAATTCAACAACCCTTCATGCTAAAAACTCTCAATAAATTAGGTATTGATGGGACGTATCTCAAAATAATAAGAGCTATCTATGACAAACCCACAGCCAATATCATGCTGAATGGACAAAAACTGGAAGCATTCCCTTTGAAAACTGGCACAAGACAGGGATGCCCTCTCTCACCACTCCTATTCAACATAGTGTTGGAAGTTCTGGCCAGGGAAATTAGGCAGGAGAAGGAAATAAAGGGCATTCAATTAGGAAAAGAGGAAGTCAAATTGTCCCTGTTTGCAGGTGACATGACTGTATATCTAGAAAACCCCATTGTCTCAGCCCAAAATCTCCTTAAGCTGATAAGCAACTTCAGCAAAGTCTCAGGATACAAAATCAATGTACAAAAATCACAAGCATTCTTATACACCAATAACAGACAAATAGAGAGCCAAATCATGAGTGAACTCCCATTCACAATTGCTTCAAAGAGAATAAAATACCTAGGAATCCAACTTACAAGGGACGTGAAGGACCTCTTCAAGGAGAACTACAAACCACTGCTCAATGAAATAAAAGAGGATACAAACAAATGGAAGAACATTCCATGCTCATGGGTAGGAGGAATCAATATTGTGAAAATGGCCATACTGCCCAAGGTAATTTATAGATTCAATGCCATCCCCATCAAGCTACCAATGACTTTTTTCACAGAATTGGAAAAAACTACTTTAAAGTTCATATGGCGCCAAGAAAAGAGCCCGCATCGCCAAGTCAATCCTAAGCCAAAAGAACAAAGCTGGAGGCATCACGCTACCTGACTTCAAACTATACTACAAGGCTACAGTAACCAAAACAGCATGGTACTGGTACCAAAACAGAGATATAGATCAATGAAACAGAACAGAGCCCTCAGAAATAACACCTCATATCTACAACTATCTGATCTTTGACAAACCTGAGAAAAACAAGAAATGGGGAAAGGATTCCCTGTTTAATAAATGGTGCTGGGAAAACTGGCTAGCCATATGTAGAAAGCTGAAACTGGATCCCTTCCTTACACCTTATACAAAAATTAATTCAAGATGTATTAAAGACTTAAACGTTAGACCTAAAATCATAAAAACCCTAGAAGAAAACCTAGGCATTACCATTCAGGACATAGGCATGGGCAAGGACTTCATGTCTAAAACACCAAAAGCAATGGCAACAAAAGCCAAAATTGACAAATGGGATCTAATTAAACTAAACAGTTTCTGCACAGCAAAAGAAACTACTATCAGAGTGAACAGGCAACCTACAAAATGGGAGAAAATTTTCGCAACCTACTCATCTGACAAAGGGCTAATATCCAGAATCTACAATGAACTCAAACAAATTTACAAGAAAAAAACAAACAACCCCATCAAAAAGTGGGCGAAGGACATGAACAGACACTTCTCAAAAGAAGGCATTTATGCAGCCAAAAAACACATGAAAAAATGCTCACCATCACTGGCCATCAGACAAATGCAAATCAAAACCACAATGAGATACCATCTCACACCAGTTAGAATGGCAATCATTAAAAAGTCAGGAAACAACAGGTGCTGGAGAGGATGTGGAGAAATAGGAACACTTTTACACTGTTGGTGGGACTGTAAACTAGTTCAACCATTGTGGAAGTCAGTGTGGCTTTTCCTCAGGGATCTGGAACTAGAAATACCATTTGACCCAGCCATCCCATTACTGGGTATATACCCAAAGGACTATAAATCATGGTGCTACAAAGACATATTCACACGTATGTTTATTGCGGCACTATTCACAATAGCAAAGACTTGGAACCAACCCAAATGTCCAACAATGATAGACTGGATTAAGAAAATGTGGCACATATACACCGTGGAATACTATGCAGCCATAAAAAATGATGAGTTCATGTCCTTTGTAGGGACATGGATGAAATTGGAAATCATCATTCTCAGTAAACTATCGCAAGAACAAAAAACCAAACACCGCATATTCTCACTCATAGGTGGGAATTGAACAATGAGATCACATGGACACAGGAAGGGGAACATCACACTCTGGGGACTGTTGTCGGGTTGGGGGAGTGGGGAGGGATAGCTTTAGGAGATATACCTAATGCTTAATGACGAGTTAATGGGTGCAGCACACCAGCATGGCACATGTATACATAGGTAACAAACCTGCACATTGTGCACATGTACCCTAAAACTTAAGGTATAATAATAATAAAATAAAATTACAAAAAAGAAAAAAGCCCTTTTATTAAAAGAAGGTATTTGACAATCAAAAAAAGATAAAATAAAATAAAATAAAAAATCATCCAAAGCATCCATTTCCTCTTATTAGCTAATGGCTTGCAGAAAAAAATAAGAGATTAATTTTTGAAGGGCATTTTTCAAGGGTGTCTTGGATCCTTTCATGGACATTTTATGGTTTTGTTTTATGGTTAAAGATGTAATACACTTGCGGTTAAAATTTCGAATATTTTTTTGTACGAAGTTTCTCCAAATGCTTGCATTTTGCCCTAAAGACTCAGCATGAAACAATGTCTGTTGTTGAAACTCCTTTGAATGTCTGAAAAACACCATTAGCATTGGCTCTCATCTACTCATCAAGCAGATGTGGATGCACACTGCACTCTCTTTGAGCTAGGTTCTTCCAAGGTCTTGTTAAAGCTGCATGAGGGCCATCTGAAGCCCAAAGGGGAAAAAGCCTGATGTGAAGCTTGGTACCATCTATAAATGGACAGAAAACAGAAGGTTTTGAAATTGCGCTAAAGAACAGGTTTATAAGTGAGGATGCTATTGCACTACTGCTGAGAAAGGAACATTTACCAGGTTGCCTTTGATGAGACCAGGATATTTGTAAAGCCACTTTTACTGCAAAAGCACCTGACCCAATAAAGAACTACAGTTCATAGTAAATACTCAGCCCCCATTCTGAGAGTGTCAGCATTTCTGTTGACTTAAAAATACACTTACCCTATGACCCATGACGCCTAGCTGGTAGCAGAAATCTACACAGTAAAGGCAGCATCCAAGGCAACAGTAATTGTAAAATATCATCTCTTGAACTCTCAAATAAAGTAGAAGACAAGAATACTTGTTCTGTTCAAATTAATGCTCTTGCTCTGGACTTTCTATTAAGGCTAAGCCTCTGAGCAGTGCTCTGCTATGTGTTTTGAACCTTGTTTTCCATTAGCAGCCATAAAAATAATTATTTAGAAACATCAAATATTTGCAATGCCTTGATCTGTCAAGCAACAGCATGAAATGTATCAATGGCTGTTGAATCTTTTCGAAGCACTTGGACAGAAGGTTGTTTTCCACTCTTGCTGTGTGTGTGTTAAATATAAATGAATTGTGGTTTATTTTCATTCATGCTGTTTATTTACATACATGTGCCCCATGCCAGCTACCTGATCAAGTGCTCCTGTATGAACCTGGATTCAGAGTCTACAAGTAAGGCTGGTCAGTATTAGGAAAACTGTCAAGTCAGTCATTCCAGTGTGAATGATACCTTTCTGAAATCCAGGTGTTTGCAGATAGTTAGCCAAGCTCTTCTGCTAGTTGATTTACTTTTTCCTGATACCCATAGATTTAGCAAAAATGTTTTTGCTGCAGTTAGGAAATGTTTACCCATATACTTGTGTCATCAAATTATGTAAATTTGAAACTTTGAAAAAATATCTTTGAAAGCATCATTAATTTCCTAGCTTGAGTGTAAGAGGAGATCTAGACCATTCTGAATGATTCTGGTTCAATAATGTAGAATGTTTATTTTTGCGTTGAGTTGGAGTTTAAAGAGTTATTTATTATTTATTTATTTATTTATTTTTTGAGATGGAATCGCACTCTGTCACCCAGGCTGGAGTGCAGTGGTGCAATCTCTGCTCACTGCAACCTTCACCTCCCAGGTTCAAGCAATTCTCCTGCCTCAGCCTCCTGAGTAGCTAGGATTACAGGTGTGTACAGCTAATTTTTTGTATTTTTTAATAGAGATGGGGTTTCACCATGTTAGCCAGGATGGTCTTGATCTCCTGACCTTGTGATCCACCTGTCTTGCCCTCCCAAAGTGCTGGGATTACAGGCGTGAGCCACCGCGCCCAGTCTATAGAGTTATTTTACTTTTCATATGTAATATACTGTTGAGAGTTCAAACATGAAGTTTAAATGGCACAGACTGATCAGTGTTACATAATAGAGTCCCCACTGCCTATTCTGTATGGTACAGATAGAAATAATTTCATATGTTTGGTGCAAAAAATGACAGTGAGGAAAAGTTATGTATCTTTGAAAAAATATTTTATCTGTATGGAATAGAGTCAATTTGAGTAAGAAAAAAATGATACGTCAAAGCACAAACACCTTTAGAAATTAATGATTTATGGATCTGGAAAAGACACAGCTAAAATTTCCCCTCTGTCATAAAGATTATGTTTATTACCAGGTGTAAATGATTTCTTTCTATTTTTGAGGTTCTGACATTTTTGATACATCTTATATTATAGCTGTTTATGAATGTCTGCTTATTTTGATGAGGCCTTTTTAAAGTATTAAGTTTCACTTATTCAGCCATTCAGCACATAATTTTTGAATGCCAACTTTATACACAGTGCTAGACATATGGCGGAAAATAAAGACGGTTAATTATGGCTCCTGCCCTTAGTACCTGTTTAAATCATTTTTTGGAGAGTACTTTTTGTTTACTCCCCTGAAAACGTAGCATAAATAGATACTGATAAACTCCAAAGGATAAAAATAATAAATGGACACACCTATTTTTATATAAATATTACTGTCTTAGTCCATTTGGGTTCCTATAACAAAATGCCCGAAACTGGGCAATGAATAAAGAACATAAATGTATTTCTTCACAGTTCGATAAACTGGAAATCCAAAATGAGGATGCCAGCAGGCTTAGTGTCTTGCGGGGGGGCTGCTCTCTGCTTCCAAGGTGGCACCTAGAAAGCCACCTTGGAAGGTGTCCTCCTAAGTTGGAAAGGACAGAGGGCAAATGGTGTCTTCCTAAGTTGGAAGGGACAGACAGCAAAAGGGGCTGAACTCACTCCTGCAAGTCCTTTCAAAAGGGCACTAATCCCACCTCTACTCACCTCCTAAAGGCCCCACCTCATAAAACTGTTGCGCTGGGGATTAAATTTCAACATGAATTTTGGAGGACGCACAAGCATTCAAGCCATAGCTATTACTCTCTGCATACCTCTCTCCACTCACCTCACCACTCCTGAGAAGTCTAGGGTTAGGGCCAGCACCTGTCCCATAAAGGTGCCCAGGTCTTCTCCCGAATCTGTTCTTATTACCCAACCTCTTTGACATTCGCATCATATTTGGGCATTTGATATTTGCTTTTATTATATTTATTGTGGGTGGCTGTTCACAAAGTAATTCTCTCTTTATTCTAATTTAATTCTACAAGTTCTCTTCATTGCATTATTAGAGATTCAGTTAAGATACACTTTCTCTGCCAGTTCATCTTGGTACCTAAACAGGTAGAGCAAACTACAGGTCATTCGGTTGGAAGAGAATGTATTAACCTGTGAACTTGAATAGCTTTTGTTTTTCTTACTGGGAAGGAAAGTCAAATATCCTTCATTATTATGTTCCATCTGCACCCATCTCTCTGCTTTGTTCCCAACAAAATTTGAAATTTTGACTTTATGTTCTAATTTACATTTCATAGTTCCAGAATTTTCTATATTTCTAACTTACTATATGTTTCTTACACTTTTCTTCAAATAAGTTTCAAAATGAGAAACTGATTGTGTAAATCTGCACTATTTGCATGTTATTTAACCACTGTGCCTCAGCTCTAACCATCTCTAATAGGAAATTATTTTGCATTCCTCTTTTATGGGGCAGTTTGTTTGTTTAAAGTTAATAAATTTAAAATTCTTAAAATATTATCTGATACATTCTAAGCATTTAAAATGTTAGTTACACTTTATTATCGTTACTAATTTTTAATTAAATACCCCTTTAAGGGATAAAACAACTCAAAAAGTAAAAGAAAATAACCCCACTAAAAACTGGGCAAAGGACATGAATGGATATTTATCAAAAGAAGAAATATAAGTGGCCAAAAAACACATGAAAAATGCACAGTATCAGTAATAATCAGACAAATGCAAATTAAAAGCACAATGAGATACTATCTCACATCAGTTAGAATGACTGTTATTAAAAAGTCAAAAGACAACAGATGTTGGTGGGGATGCGGAGAAAAGGGAAGGCTTACACATTGTTGTTGGGAATTTAAATTAGTTCAACCTCTATGGAAGACACTATGGAGATCTCTCAAAGGATAAAAAATAGAATTGCCATTTGACTCAGCAATTCCACGACTGGGTATTTACCCAAAGGAAAATAAATCACTATATAAAAAAGATGCCTGTTCTCATATGTTCATTGCATTACTGTTCACAATAGCAAAGTCATGGAACCAACCTAAGTGTCCATCAATAGTTGACTGGATAAAGAAACTGTGGTCTATATAAACCAAATAATACTATTCAGCCATGAAAAAGAATGAAGTCATGTCCTTTGCAGCATCATGAATGAAGCTGGAGGCCATTATTCTAAGTGAACTAACTCTGAAACAGAGAATTAAATAAGCAATGTTCTCACTTATAAGTGGGAGCTAAACAATGGATACAAAGAGACATAAAAATGGAAATAATAGACACTGGGGACTCCAAGAGAGTTAGGAAGTGGGTGAGGATTGAAAAATTACATATGGGATGCAATGTTCACAATTTGGGTAATAGGTATACTAGAAGCCCAATTCCAACCAGTACACAATATACCCACATAAGAAACATCCACCTGTACTCTCTGAATCCAAAATAAAATAAAATTGAAGAAAACATAAAACAGGATAATAAGTTTGTTAAATTGAAAAAAATACTAGTTCATAAATTAATAAGTTTAATAATGGTCTTTTCATTACTATTATATACTTTCTCTATTTTTACCTTATAAGTATAATGCTTTATTGATTCTTTCTCCAAATATTTATTTAACGGTTATTTTATACCAGTTACTTACTTTCTAGATGCTAGGTAAAAAGAAAAGAATAAATAAGGCCAGGTAAAATCGCTGGCTACGTGGAGCTTACATTCTTGATTTTGAATGATACAAGTATCTTTTTTCGGATAAAAAGAATGATTTTACTTGTTCAAAAATGATGTTTTAGCAAGAGCAAAGTAAATAACAAAAAACATGAAAGAAATACATTTTAAAGGTAAACAATGTCATCTGCCTTTTGGGTAAGACCCATGCAAACATGACCAGAGGTCACTCCCACTACGCATATTGCTTATTTTAAAAAAACAAACAAAAAACAAAAAACAAACAACAACAACAACAAAACAACCCTGGCTCATTTCACCTGCTGAATCTGTGGTTTTCAAACAGTTGTCTTACCAGCGACATCAACGTCATCTGGAAACTTGGTAGAAATGCAAATTCTAGGGCCCCACCACAGACCTGCTGAATTTGAAACACTGGTGATGGGACCCAGCAATCTGTGTTTACAAGAGCCCTTCAGGTGATTTGGATGAAGTAGCAGAAGGCACAGTCAGGGAAGTGAGGCAAGGTGGAGAAGCTCAGCTTACCAAAATGAAAATCAGCTGGCATGACTGATGCTCGCAATTACCATTTCTATATAGAGACGCAGTTTGCAAAGTCATACAATTTTATACTAGTCAATTTTTACAACAGTTGCTATGTTATTGTATTAGTCTGTTCTCACACTGCTATAAAGACATACTGGAGACTTGGTAATTTATAAAGGAAAGAGATTTAGTTGACTCACAGTTCCATATGGCGGGGGAGACCTCAGGAAACTTACAATCATGGTGGAGGGTGAGAGAGAAGCAAAGGCACGTCTTAATGGCAGCAGGTGAGAGAGAGTGTGAGAGAGCACAGGAAAAACTACCGTTTATTATATAAAACCATCGGATCTCATGAGAACTCACTCACTATCATGAGAACAGCATGGGGGAAACTGCCCCTATAATCCAATCACTTCCCACCAGGTTCCTCCCTTAACACCTGGGGATTACAATTCAAGATAAGATTTGGGTGGGGACTTAAGGCTAAACCATATCAGTTATGAAATATGTTTATTTTGAAGATGAGAAAAACTGAGAACTTTACATGTTAATTAAGTGGCAGAGTAAGGAAGGAACACAGGAATCCTGGCTGACTCTCACATTATTCTTTCCATTAAAACACATACTGTGGAAGGTTATTACCTATATGATCAAGCCTTCTAATGAGGTTTCCTTGCAAATCTCTAAGCTAACTGCAGTGGATTGAACATTTGTGTTTTCCCAAATTGATATGTTGAAATTCTAATACCCAAGGTGATGGTATTAAGAGGTGGAGCCTCTAAGAGGTCATTAAACCAGGCGGGTAGAATTCCCATGAATGGGATTAGTGCCCATATGGAAAGAACTCCAAGAGGTCTTACACCCTCTTTCTATCATGTGAGGATACAAGAAGACAGCCATCTGCAACCCAGAAGAAGGCCTTCATCACAGCCTGACCATGTGGGCAGCCTGATCTCAGACTTGCAGCCTCTAGAGCTGTGAGAAATAAGTTTCCGTTGTTTAGAAGCTACCCAGTTTACAGTACTTTGTTATATCAGCCAGAGCTAAGATACTAACTACAGTCTAAGCCCAAATATGATTTTCTTTTTTTTTCTCTTTGAAGAACTCTGAGATTCTAAAAAACAAACAAACAAACAAACAAACAAAAACCAAAAAAAACCAAGGAATTGAAAGTGAATCTAAAATTTAATTCAAAATATCACAGTAATGTGCAAAACATTTTCAAAAATCGCTGTGTCATGTTATAATTGGCATCACCCTTTCCTTAAGACAATTGTAACGTATAAGAAAAAAGTACATGGCATCCCCAGGAGGCTTATCTAGTAGATCAGGGCTCTTATTGGTACAACCCATGGAACATGGCATAAGCTTCATGGTTTTTTATGATCTAGGCTCAAAAGTCACATGAGGTCACTTCCGTCACATTCTATGGGTCACTTCTGGCATACTCTATTGGTTAAAACATTCCAAGCCTGTTTTGATTTAAAGGGAAAGAAAACTGTCTTTATGTCTTAATGGCAGGAGTACCAAAGCTTGTGTAGTGATGTCTTCACTGACCTCAAGCTGCCATAGTCCAACTTCTCAGCACAAATTATTTCCATTTCTCCCTTTTGCAAAACATACTTACTCCCCACTAAGATCCTCAAAGGTCTCATTCCATTCCAAGCTCAGGCCCAAGGTCCAAGATATTTTAATCTGCATCAGATCCAGGTGGGGCTCATCCCTTCTGGTTCAATTGCTCAGGTATGTCTTCTCTTGGTTTAAAGGCCTATTAACCAAAAAAACAAGTTATTTGCTTTCCATATACTCAACACAAAATGGAGGGCTAGGCAGGCTTTTGTACAACAGCAATACCTAATTCAATTCAAAGCGAGGAAACAGGCCATACATGGCAGTCCCTGGCCTGTAGCAATATTAAACCCAGCAGGACACTCATCAATTACCTCCGTTTAGGGCCCCATATTGCACCGAGGTTAGAACCCTGTGACTGCAGGGTCTGTATTCTAATCCTTTGTTTCACCTTCTGAGACATGCTTTCTCGTAAGAAATAACCCATGTTCACAGATGCAGTTTTTTCAGCCTGTCTCCTGCTCATAAAAATTTAGAGGTCTCAATATTCATTTCAGTTGGGCTATTCTCTGTCTCTTTTAATCTAACCTGGTAAAATTTCTAAAACTTTATAGGCTTCTTATGAAACAATTATCTACTCCATTAGAAGAAGCCACACCCACACATTTGTTTTGGGTATGTCCTTCTCTACCTTCACTATTTCTGATGCGTTTTAAGGACAATATCCTTCAGATTTTTAGAATCCCTATTGTTTACCGGTGAGGGCCTGCCCAGGCACAGCCATCATACATTTACAAGGCCCCTGGCTTCCTGAAAGTATCTTCATGCAACGGCCTTGGATCTTTGTAAAATCTGAATAAAGGCTTGTATAGTCATAGCCATGGATTAATTTTAATCTTTGCCCCAGACTGTTTCCAAGCTTTAAGTTCAGTTCGCTAACTGGAAAGACTGCCACGGACGCTTTACAATGTCCTGCAAATTCTATTAGAAAACTACAAAATGTGTTCTTTTCTTCGATGCTCTCCATTGGCACTGGTCATTGACAGTGAGCAGAAGCTAGATAGCATTTTCAGTATTCTGCCTGGAAGTCCCCTTAGCTAGACTCCAAGTCTATTCAGTACATTCAGTATTTTCCACATTACCAGAGGTGACAGTTTTAGTGTCTTGCTCAAAATTTCAGAGAAAGTAAATTTGCCCTGGAACTACAATGAAGATTACTCTGAGACCATCACCCCAGTGTCTGAGCCCCTCAGTGAACGCCAGCACTTGTTTTCTTGGCTATTTAATCAGGTGTCACTGTCAGGCGTCCTTAAAGATGGAAATTAGATAGTAGAGATTTAAGTAATCACTGCATTTCTAATTGGAATGAAGATGGTTTTTAACTTTTGCTTGAATCCAGAATCATAACATATATTGGCCCTTTTACTGGTTATCTGTGGTTAAGAAGGTATACCTCAGAATGGCTGTGGAATTTATCCTGCATGTGTATACCTTTGCACAAGCTGATTGTGGAACAGACCATTGCTCTTTGCCTTTGCTTTCCAGTTTAGTTACTTTGTTTTCTTTCTTTGTTTTCTTTTTTTTTTCTTTTTTTTTTTTTTTTGAGACAGAGTCTTGCTCTGTCATCCAGGCTGGAGTGTTGGCCAGGCTGGTCTCGATCTCCTGAGCTCAAGTGATCTGTCTGCCTCAGCAGTGGTGCCATCTCGGCTCAATGCAATCTGCGCCTCCCAGATTCAAGAGATTCTCATGCCTCAGCCTCCCAGGTAGCTGGGATTATAGGCACACACCAGCATGCCCAGCTAATTTTTCTATTTTTAGTAGATACAGGGTTTCACTATGTTGGCCAGGCTATTCTCAAAATCCTGAGCTCAAGGGATCCAGCTGCCTCAACCTTCCAAAGTGCTGGGATTACAGGCATGAGCCACTTCATCCAGCTCAGTTTAGTTTAAATTATAACTTAATTTTTTTTCTTTGCCTTGTGGTTTAGTTACAGTTATAACTACTATAGATTTAACGAACTTTTAATCTTTTTAAGGCATGCTGGAGTCTTATAAAAATACTTTTGGAAAAATTGCTTCTATATTTTAACTAACACAAACACCGTCGTGATATTCCTATAATCAGTCTCACATCACCTCCCTCAGGTTGTTGGCCTCATTTTAATTCTACTTTTAAACAAAAGGTATTTGATTTCTCTTCCTCTTGGCTACCCTTTGCATAACCCCTAATTTAAAACTGCCAGTTCCTTACATTCATCACTTAAAAAGAAATGCATTATCAGGTAAGAAACTCGCTCACTATAAAAGTGCAGAAACACTTTTTGCTTCATTTTTATTACTGTGGCATGTATGTCTGATTAGTGTCCAGTACTGGTTTTTATAAAGCTCCATGAGAAACAGCACATTTTAAAAAAATTATCCAAGATATTAAACAATATGGATAACACATTTCTTACTCTCCAAATGTAAGTGTGAATCTACTTTATCTGAAAGATGACAGACTATAATTTAGCAGGTTAGTAGGTGGTCATACAGTAGTAGCATGAATGGGGAGTCATTTTTAGGACACTCGTTTTTGCACAGAAACATGGTGCGGGCCTAGGACGAAATGCATACTTTGTAGGAAAATCAAGCATTGGAAAGTACAAATCTTTGTAGCAGCCTGTTAACCTGTTTGCTGACTTCATTCTTAAACCCTACCAATCCACTGATGTTGGTGTGATCCTTGTTATGCAAATCAGGTCATGTCATTTTCCTAGTAAAAATATGCTAATAGCTGCTCACTCTACTCAAGAGAAAGTCTTTAACTGCTTATTAGTACTCTTGAGATCTGTATCATCTACTGTCCATGCCCCTCTGCTGACACTTCTATTTTCAACTACCTGTTTTTACGCCCCACCACTTGTAACCCTGCCCATGAAAGCGAAAGTGACCTATTTTCAGTATTGTTCAAACAGCTGCATGTCTCCCTTTGGGCCTTTGCATATGCTATTCTTCTTGTCTGGATCCTTCCTCCAACCTACCCTACTTTCAATCATGTTCACGTAATTGGGAGGATTGCTTGAGCCCTGGAGGTAGAGGCGTTGGTGAGCTATGAATGCACCACTGCACTCCAGCCTGAGTGAGAGAGTGAGATACTGTCTCAAAAAAAAAAAAAAAAAAAAAAAAATCCTGTCATTACCTCACATCATATCTAAAACAACTCAAAATTGGTCAAAGATCTAAATGTAAATTTTCATGACCTTGAACCAGGCAATGATTTTTTAGCAATGAACATCAAAAGCACAAAAAACAATGAAAGAAAAATATTCAGGCATGACTTCATCAAAGTTTAAACTTTTTATCCTTCAAAAGACACAATCAGTAAAGTAAAAGGCCACACAGAATGGAACAAATGTACAAATCCTTTATTAGATAAGAGACTAGATTCCAGAACATATTGAGAACTTCTACAACTCAAGGATATAATTTACAAATAAAAATTTAAAAATGACCAAAGGACTTGAGTAGACATTTCTCCAAAGATGATATACAAGTAGCTAATACACAAAAGAAAAGATGATTAAAATTATGAGTTATTAGGAAATACACATCAAAACAGCATAATTGAAATTGTAAACCTGTGGAGAAACAGATCCCTTGATACCCGTCTTCCCAGCCCCTGTAAACCACCATTCTTTTCTCTGCTTCTATGAATTTGACAATTTTAAATACTTCATATAATCAAAGCATGCAATACAGTCCTTCTGTGATGGATTTATTTACTTAGGATAATGTCCTCCAGGTTGATCCATGTTGTAACAAATGGCAGTGTTTTCTTCTTTTCAAAGCATGAATACTATTCCATTACATGTCTGTATACATCATATTTTGTTTATTCATCTGTTAATGATATTTGGGTTGTTTCCATATTTTGGCTATTGTGAACAATGCTGCAATGAGCACAGAAGTACAGACATCTCTTGAAGATCCTAATGTTAATTCTTTGAATATATGCCCAGAGGTGGGATTCCCGGATCATATGGTAGTCCTGTTTTTAATTTTGAGGAACTTTCAGACTGTTTCCCATAATGGCTGAAACATTTTACATTCTTACCCACAGCATACAACAAGAGTTCCAATTTCTTGCTAATGCTTGTTATCTTTCAGTTTTCTTTTTCTTTTTTGATGACAGTCATCCTAACAGCTGTGAGGTAATACCTCATTTTTCATTCTTGTTTTAATTTACATTTCCATCATTATCAGTGATGTTAGCACTTTTCCATATGCCTGTTGGTCATTTGTGTATCTTCCTTGGAGAAATGTCCATTCAGGTCCTTTGCTGTTTTGTAATCGAATTAGTTTTGTATTCTTTTTTTTTTTTTCTAATGAGATTTAGGAGTTTCTTAAAAGAGTCGACTTAATGTTATGTGAATTATACTTCAATTGTTAAAAATTAAAAATTACTTCATAATCTTTTTTTTCTTATAAACAGGAGGTTGCTAGTGGGATTTAAAGGTCTCATGTAGAATAAATTTTAAAAATTAACTTCAGTAATAATGCTTTCCACTTTCTCTACTAAATTTACTTGACCCTTCTTTATTAAAAATTAAGTATTAAAAGTGTGTAGGGCCATAAGAAAAGAAAAATAGGAAGTGCCCTGAATAAAAGCACTCAGCTGAAGGGGCAACTGGGAGCTCAAACCCAAGCTACTGCCCATTTCCAAGCCACACACCCTTGAATTTGCCAAAAGTAAGAGGTGCTGCTTTATAATTTGCACAAAGGTGCTATGTGATCTAGCATTAAAATTGACATAAATCATGCAGGAGAAAGAGAGAAAGAGACAGATGCTGTTTTGATATCATTTTAATTTTCATTTTAATGCAAAGAGAAATATTATGTCAAACTTAATGGCAAATAAGAGCAGGAGACTCTCTAAATAATAATATGTATTCAGGAGTGGGCATTTCGATGGTAATAAATACGCCATAGTAAACTATGTGCATAGTGAGGGAGTTAAAGGAAGAGAAAGGCTTTTAACGAAAAAACAAGAAGGGTTACACAAGTGCTTCAAATCAATTATCCTTGGCTATAAATGTCAAGAACAAAGGTGACATCAGTCCAATGTTGGACAGGCAGTTCCTGGGCAGATGTCCTCATAGAATTATGCATATACACACACATATATGTACGTATGTATATATATGGACATATATGTATATATGTATACATATATACATAATGATATGTATATATGTATAATTCCTCATAGAATTATATATATATACACATAATACGTACATATGTATACATATATGTACATATATACACACACATCCTGTGCATGGTTGTGCATGGTTGTGGTTTCTGCAGAGTCTTCTGTGATAGTTCAAGTGTGAGAACCCACCCTTCATGGCCTTCCTCAGCTTCATTTGTTAGGGCTTCACACTAGTGACTCCATTTTGATTCTGACAACTTTTACATTTCCCCGTTTTGATCAAGTTCTTTCTCCAAAGCATTGTTGATCAATCAACTTTGAGTTAGCTTTTAATTGTCCCTTGTTACCAGGATGGACCTCTTTAAGTTTGTTGGCCAGTTCCACATGAGAGGAAGTAACTGGGAACTAGAAATGAGTGTCAAAACCCACTTATTACAGTTGAGCAAAAAGGAATATCTCCAGGAAGTGGCTCTTAGGCTAAGTGTACCTGGAGTCCCTTGTTATGTTCAATTTTTGTTTGTTCCATAGATACTGGCTATCACATCAAAGTGCTGGACCGGCCTTATTCTGTTAGGACTTCTACTTCTGCAGACGTACAAGGAAGAGGTTAAAAGTTTTGAAAAAGGAAATACAAAGTTAAATTAACAGTAATGTGTTTTTGAGTCATGAACCTAAGCTTAACTCCATACATTAAATGATCATGGGGAATTAGGTAAGACCTGTTGTAACCACGTGGCCTGTCTTCTTATTTTATGTATCTGGGTCTCAAATTCCCCAGAGGAATTTATCCAGGTACAGGATGTAGTGTTAGCAATAGCATAGATACTTTCTTATTTAACCAATACATAATATACAGAAATTATATCACTTAGTATCTCATGATTGGGTTGGATTAAAGCAAAGATTGTTCTAAAAAGGAACCAATAGTACCTCTGAAGAAAAAGATACGTTAGAGATGTTGCCAAAGTTATTCACCATGTAAGTAAAGTATTAAAGGATCCCCTAGGTCACGTAAAGATCTAGGTTTGGCATGATTCAACATTATGTCAAGATATCCTCAGAAGTTACTGATTATGAAATTTTAATTCCACCATTGTCTTTCCAAGTAAAAAATATAGGCATTAAGTGGGATAAGGGTAGAGTATTATAATATGAAGTCTTTTTTTCGTATCTTGGGAAAAGCTCTCTACAGTGTGAAAACGTCAGCTTCTTACCCTGACTTGCAGTTTGAATGTCTCTGGTAATAGCATCAGGCAATTTGGTGAACTTTCTGTGTGGCTCATGTATCAAGCATGACACTTGTGTCTTAAAATTCATCTAGTGTTACCTTAGAGGGCTTTAGGATCAGAGCAATTCTGCCTTTTAGTAGTTCCATGGAAGAAAGTTGGAATGGAGTTTCTCAGAAGAATTTAGGATCCAGTCCAGTCTACAGATTGATAACAGTAACTCAAAAGCAATGTAAAAGTCTACAATCCAATAGCAGGTGTACCATAGTGTTTCTTTAGTAACATAACTTTCTCTACACAGTCATCCCAATTTCTACCAAAGTTAACAGTAAGGCAAATTTGCTTGTAAAATAAGCTAAGTGTTATCAAATTTTGCCTGATCATTTATACAAGTGCAGAAAGAATAGTGATTTGACTACGTAGGAGTCTCAGGTTTAAAAACCTCTTGAGGCAGCAAAGCCAAACCAAGGCAGGCTTTAAATTTTGCCAGCAGGGCCTATGAGCAATTTAAATACGGCATTCCCATCAAAATCTAAGTGATACAGGAATGTTTTCAATTTTATCTTATTAAAAAAAAAGCAGACTCTTATCAAACTTATTCAAAAACTATATTGTCATAAATATAAGGATACTCATTGATAGTTTCCAAATTTTGAAGGGATTAAGTTGGGAGAAAAAGTAAATGTTTTTATGTTTGTTCACAAAAGCATACTTTCCCAAATTCTTGTAAACACTAGATAGTTTTTTTAATTTTATTTTTAATTTTACTTATTTAAGTCCTGGGATACATGTGCAGAATATGCAGGTTTGTTAAATAGGTATACAGGTGCCATGGTGGTTTGCTGCACCTATCAACCTGTCACCTAGGTTTTAAGCCCCACATGTATTAGGTATTTGTCCTAATGCTCTCCCTCCCCTTCCCCCCACCCCCAACAGGCCCCAGTGTGTGTTGTTTCCCTCCCTAAGTCCATGTGTTCTCATTGTTCAACTCCCACTTATGAGTGAGAACATATGGTGTTTGGTTTTCTGTTCCTGTGTTACTTTGTTGAGGATGATGGTTTCCAGTTTCATCCATGTTCCTGCAAAAGACATGAATTAATTCTTTTTATGGCTGCATAGTGTTCTATGGTATATATATGCTACATTTTCTTTATCCAGTATATCATTGATGGACATTTGGGTTGGTTCCAAGTCTTTGCTATTGTGAATAGTGCTGCAATAAACAGATGTGTGCATGTGTCTTTACAGCAGAGTGATTTATAATCCTTTGGGTATATACTCAGTGATGAGATTGCTGGGTCAAATGGTATTTCTGGTTCTATATCATTGAGGAATCACCACACTGTCTTTCACAATGGTTGAACTAATTTACACTGCCACCAACAGTGTAAAAGCATTCCTATTTCTCCACATCCTCTCCAGCATCTGTTGTTTCCTGACTTTCTAATAATCACCATTCTAACTGGAGTGATATGGTATCTCATTGTGGTTTTGATCTGCATTTCTCTAATGACCAATGGAACAGAACAGAGAACTCAGAAATAACACCACACATCTACAACCATCTGATCTTCAACAAACCTAACAAAAACAAGCAATGGGGAAAGGATTCCCTATTTAATAAATGGTGCTAGGAAAACTGGCTAGCCATATGCTGAAAACAGAAACTGGACCCCTTTCTTACAACTTATACAAAAATTAACTCAAGATGGATTAAAGACTTAAACGTAAAACCTAAAATCATAAAAACCCTAGAAGAAAACCTAGGCAATACCGTTCAGGACATAGGCGTGGGCAAAGACTTCATGACTAAAACACCAAGAGCAATAGCAACAAAAGCCAAAATTGACAAATGGGATCTAATTAAACTAAAGAGCTTCTGCACAGCAAAAGAAACTATCATCAGAGTGAACAGGCAACCTACAGAATGGGAGAAAATTTTTTCAATCTATCCATCTGACAAAGGTGTAATATCCGGAATCTACAAGGAACTTAAGCAAATTTACAAGAAAAAAAATAACCAATCAAAAAGTGGGTGAAGGATATGAACAGACACTTCTCAAAAGAAGACATTTATGTGGCCAACAAACATATGAAAAAAAGCTAATCACCACTGGTCATTAGAGAAATACGAGATTGTTTAAGAGAAACTTTTCTTAAATCTGAAAAACAAAAGCTTTAAGTAAAGAACCAACAATATTTCAAATTAAAACCATACAACCAATATTTTTATTAGTTATTCAATCTCATGTATTACATTTTCATTCTGCTTGATCTTGTTTAGTAGTTTCACAAATTCATCAGTAGCTTCATTAGCGTTCTGGAAAATTTTTATTTACTTCATCGATCTTAAAGTTATTAAAACCCTGTATTCAAGAGTACTTGTTAGACTTTTTCTCATGAATTTGATTACAGGTTTCTTTAGTGAGAAGTCAAAAGTGTTGATGACAAAGACTTATTAATAGAATAGCCATAGTTAAAATTCTGATGGACGTTCATTATAACTAGCAATTGACAAGGAAATTTGGTTATTTCCATGGCATACAATATTTTCATATGACCACCAAAATTATGACTAATGTTATTAGATTTCTTTGAAGTTATATAATTTTTAAAATACTTATTAATAGTATACCCAAGAATGTAACTGAAAGAAGATCCAGAATCACTTGTCATTTGACCACACTTCCCATACAGTTTAACACATCAAAGAAGCCTACTTATTTCATATCTCTATAAAATGAGAGGTACTTCCTTTGAAGTTCTCTGGACCCAACTAGAAAGTATCAAAGTTAATGCTGGTCGAAAAGACTTAATCTAGAACTTTAATACTAGAGAAGCTGCCACAGGTGTCAACAGTTTAAAACAACTGATTGAAACAGTATCACATGTCATTATGAAATAATTGTCATCACTTAATCAGAGTGATAATCAAAAGATTTCAAAAGCAATACAGAAAGTTACACAGAACATTTTTGAAACTCATTTTTCCTAAGTAATCAATAAAAACCAATAAATACAATTTGAAACACATGAAGTTACACTGATGAAACAGAACATATTTTTTCTTAAGCCAGTTACATAAAAGCTAAAGAAAAGCCCCTGCAGTGTGACTGCTTCTTCTTATGAAAAACGCACTGAGATAACTGGGAAGTTAAACCTGATGAAAATCTGCGTGAACTTAATCAGACATAGGAAGAGTGTATGTCCAAGGTTATGAGTATACACCACATAAAAGAGGAATGTGAACAAGAAAACTAGTAACTTGTGAAGCGGAATACGTGGCTCTTAGGAAAAGTACAGAAAGTTTTATGATTACATGGAACAATTCAGACATGTCAAGAAAAGCAAAGAGTACAGAATCAAGTGTACTGGAGAAATAAATATTCTCTACACTGTAAAGCTGCAGTTTAGAAGATGTTTGGAAATTTAAAGAAACAGATTCCAAAATTAATCAAAACCACTCACAAATTTTACTAAGATCAGATCAATACTTCAAGGAAATCTTCTTGTTCTAAGCTAAGGGGACAACATATTAGTTTTGTGTCAGTATATTTTTAATATTAAAGCTCAATGTTTAGAAAAATTTGTAATTCCCTTCTAATTATAGCCAACTTAATCACACACAAAATTTCTTTCAGAAATTCATTTTTCATAAACCTTTCGTGACTTACTTAGACCTTTAGTTTTGTCCTATACTGCTTCTTTTTTTGTTTTGTTTTGTTTTGTTTTTTTCAGACGGAGTCTTGCACTGCCGCCAGGCTGGAGTGCAGTGGTGCAATCTCGGCTCACTGCAATCACTGCCCCTAGGTTCAAGCAATTCTCCTGCCTCAGCCTCTCCAGTAGCTGGGATTACAGGCATGTGCCACCACCCTCAGCTAATTTTTGTATTTTTAGTAGAGACGGGGTTTCACCATGTTGGCCAGGATGGTCTGGATCTCCTGACCTCGTGATCCACCCACCTCGGTCTCCCAAAGTGCTGGGATTACAGGCGTGAGCCACTATGCCCTGCGTATACTTCCTTTTTCTTAAATAACCAGTCATTTTACGTGACGACAAAAAAATCTAGCAAATAAGATTATTTCTCATACAAAGGTATTCTCTTTTTTTGTTATACCTTTGTATACAGAATGAGATATATAGATATAAAAATTAGAATTTTTGACTCTTAGAAACCTTAATTTCTACTGAAAACTTTAGACATTTTAAATTGTCACATATCAGTATTCTGTAGATGAGAACAGTCTTATAATTTTTAGAGATATATTTCTGCATTCTATAATGTTTATATATATTCATGGACTCAAACACATTATCTTTCTATAAAAAATTAAGAAGCCAAGAAAAAATTTATATTTATTTTAAGCAATGTATGTTTTATTAGTTTATTTCATTTGTGAATAACTAATTTAATGAGTATCCATCATTAACATAACTTTAAGATTTCAAATGGCATTAAAAGTTTATTAATAAAAGTTTATCTTATTAACATTTACCTAGTTTATGTATTTAACAAAATTATACCTAGTTTAGTTATGAAAACTAAGATATTAAACAAAGCTAGTCATTATTTCAAGCTGTCTTTCGGTTAACCATTTTTAGAGCCTGTGAATATCAGGTATTCACTTAAGAAACAAAGTTAAACAGATGGGAATTTTGCTGATAACTCAGAAGACACAGCTGTTTTTAGTAAACCAACAATATAAATTTTTTTATAAAAGTGTTACACAAATATCATTTTGCTTTTAATAAAGCTGCATTTATAGTTTTATAATCTGTATGTCAAACTTTGACAGCTTAAAACATCAATCAGGGACAATTGTAATCATGGCTGACCAGTAAATCCAGGCAAAAATGTATGCTGACAATTCTGAGGGCATTTCTATTTTTATGTTATCAACAAATTTAAAACAAGCTAATTTATCAAAAATTAATTCACATAAACTAAAAGACATTTGGTGTAAGTACTAAATATTTTAACAATTAAATGTGTACCCATGTATTTAAGCCAATTTAAGTAGAATTTCTTAAGGGACCTCTGGTAAACTAAGTAGAGATTCTACCATGTAGACACAATGTACAACATATAGTCACATGCATAACAACACCTAAACACACACACACACACACACACACACACACACACACAGAGATAGCTTTTATTTTAAAGTTTTATCCAAAAGACATTAACAAATAGCAATATATATTTACCGGTTTATAAAATAACAGCTGAGTCCAAAAATTATATTTTTGACAAAATGAGACCTGTTCACACGGCTAATTTTATTTGCTCTGATAATAATCCTTTGAAGACTGTTGACCAAAATTTCAGGTAAATCAGTTTGATTGGAAAAACAAATTCTTTTCCTTTTTTTCCCCTTTTTTTCAGTTTTCAATTAGTTGAGGGGTTAAATTTTCAAATATTTACATTTTAGCTAGGACTGATTGAATTGCATAAAGAAACCAGTATCTCCAAGAAGGCTCAAATTTTTAGTAAGAAATCTTTCTTTTGTTTGCTAGTCCAGTTGTCTTAATTAGTCAGTGCAGGTGAGGAGGCATTTTAGAAAAGTGTTTTAAAGATTTTTTAAGGGTTTTTTTTTGGCTCCTGTATGGCAGACAAAGCAATTTTTTTTATGCCGGACAGAGTTATATTATTGTCTTGAGCTCAAGATTTTGACTTATTTGATCTGAAAGCCTAACTTTTATAAACATAGTAGTTATTTTCTTTTTAGAATATCAATCCTTCGGTTAACTGTTCTATCACCCTAAGCAGTTGGTAGTTAGGCAAACCTAAATTTACATTTCCAAAAGGGATGACTCAGGTGTTTAGGGTTTTGGTTGCCATGGAGCTGTTGTAATTTGTAAAGCCATTAATTTGAAAGCCCTTTAAGATATTTTTTTCCCCTATCTTGGCTGGAGTGATATAAGCAGTGAGTTTATCTTAATATCAGTAGAAAAGTCAGCAGATTCAAAGTAGGCAGGAAACAAATAGAGAGATAGAGGACTTCGAAGACTACATGTTAACCCTATAGTTGTAGTTTCTAATTCAAGTCAGAAAATCAAGCTTGAGGAGTTTGAATATTCCCCACGATGCTCTTTCATTTAAAAACATGCACAAGGAAAAGCCATGTCACTGGCTGGATTCCCAGAGGGCTTGACATGCTTCAGAATTTTGAGAGTCCCGGTCTATTTCTTGTTAATATCCCCAGAGCAAACAAAATCCTATAAATCTTGTCAGGGAATGTCAGGAGTTTGGAACAGCGTCTTAGACTGTGGTGACCCACCCTAGTGGGTTTTAATTAGCCATTCTGCACCCACAATTTAGAATGTTTATTTTTTGCTCTTGGAAGATTTTCATAAATGAGCAGGGAAAAAAAAAGTAAAAGACACGAATTATTTACAGGTATACATAATCAACTAAAAATAAAACCAAAATAAGTTTGCTCACAGAAATATTAAAACAGGTATGCAGACCAAACAAAAAAAATTAAATTACACATGCAGAAAGAGCTAAAAGTTAATTCACCGGAAAATACATGCCTCACAGACAGAATATAAATTCTGTAGAAGACACAGTACTCAAACCAAAAGGAAACTTTTTATACCAAAAAGCGTTGCTAATAAATACATAAACTAATGTTTATAGCCGCAAGAGGGATGCAAGGTCCTTTACTTAAGGCAATCTTATAACAGAAACAGATCCCAAATAAAGAGGCAAAATAGCTCACCAAAGGGAGGAGGAAGTCTGAGAATCTCAGAGGAGACTCATCAGAGAGAAAAGCTGAAGGGTGGAAGCAGAGCTCTTACAAGGACTCAATGTTTGTAGTACATTGGATTCCAAGGGTCACTAACATCCTAGGTGAGCTAGTTTGATCCCTCCTCTGAAAACTAAAATATATCAAACTTATAAATGAACAGAAAGAGAGACTCTCCAATAGAAAATGGTATTTATTCAGGAATGGGCATCACAATGGGAATACATGTGCCATAGTAAACTACGTGTGTATTCAGAAAAGTAAAGGAAAGTAAGAGGTGTCAAAGAAAAATGAGAAGAATTAATTGTTTTGAAACAATTATTCTTGGCTACAGGGATCAGTAATAAGGGTGGTGTCAACACAAGGTTGACCAGGCACTTGCTGGGCAGATGCCCTCACAGAAGTCACAGAAAAGTGTGTGTGTGCATTTGTGTGTGTGTGTGTGTGTGTGTGTGTGTGTGTATACACTTGTAATGTTGCAGTAGCCTTTGTGCAAGATGGCAATTTTCAGTCTTTTATAACGGTTCTTGTTATTAGGCATGCAAGCATAGACCCCTCCATTCATGACCTGCCTCAGCTCCATTTGTCAGGGATTGACACAGTAGTTCCAACTTGATTCTGACAACTTTCACAATTATAATTATGAAAATCTCAGAAAAGTGATTGTAAAAATACTTGAGCCAGGTATATGTACATCCTCTTAAAATGACTTATTTAGCACTAATAGAATTAATCACCTAATAGATCAGTAGCAACAACATCAAAAAAGAGAATCAAATAAATATATTCATAAATATCAAAGACAATCTGCTTTTGCGTGGCATATTTGCCACAACAGCCACTCTTGTATAAAACTTCATGGCAAATATATAGAAACATTCAATGTATAACAATGTATAAGTTATATGGACATGTGAAAGAAGGTGATAGGGCATTCCAGGAGCTAAAATATACTGCAAAATTTCAACTTAAAGTACAGTTTAGGTACAATATTTCATTAAATATGTCTGGCATTTTTACATAAGCTTTAGGCTAAGACCAACATTTTGCTACTTTAACTATACATAGTGACTTGCATCTTTACATAAATTGTGTTTAATAAACAGTAGTACTGTTACTGCAATTTTTTCATCTTCTGCACCTTATTTTTTAAACAAAATCAGGGCAAAATCTGAAAACAAATTATTCAACAATTTTGTCGTATGTCAGAAATTCACATAAAAAGATGTTAACTTAAAATCAAATTATTGGCTGCCTACCATTGGGGTAGACAAAAATGCCAACCATGACTTCTATAGAATCATCTTGGGTTATTAAAAATAATTCTAGGTGTCAATATATTATTTATAAAAGTGATTTTTTTCAACTGTTAAACCAAATATTACCTCTAAGTATTTTCTGATCAAGATAGAATGAAAAAAACTGCAATTTTGCATGGATACTTCTTAAGACAGTGAAGTAGGTACAAAATTTGTTTTACAATTATATACTGAGGAAAAATTAAGAGACCTATGGACTTCAAAATAGGTGATTTGATGTTGAAATTATGATGTAATATGCAGGGCAGAAAATTTAAAAGATGCATAAGGTTGTATTTTTTTAACTGAACATACCAAATATAAAAAGCCTTTTGAAAGTCTGTCATATATAGCTAGCAAAATCATGGCTACATATGGTGCCTGACAAACTTGCTGTAGGATATTTGCACAGAATATATGCTTCACAAAATGAAAGCACTGAATAGAAAAATCATTTTTGTAAAACACAGTTTTAGTTAATTATCAGCAAACTTAAGAGTTTCATACATTGTCACTTTCACCAGTCAATTTTGCATCAACAGGATATAATTGCTAAAAATCTATGTAAAAAAGTTTCCATGGTGTCCCCACATAACTCTAGAGCTGTCAGAGCATTTGATATTGAGTTGGGTGCTAACTGTAACGCAAGCCAAACACACAGTCTTGGCATGGTTGCTCTGGTTTCCATAGAGAACAAAAAAATACTGCTCTGGGAAAATATCTTCCCTGCTTTCCTTCAAATAGTATTGCCAAGCAAGGAATGTCACCAATCACCATTGTTTTGGCATTTAATAATAGTGACTAATACAATGAACGCTTTCTGAAACTAAGATGTTATTGGAAAAGAAATATATTTAGTACAGCAATATGAATAGCCTGTGGATACTCTTTCATCCTGTTTTCAGCATTTGAACACAGCCTTGTACCAGCAATGTGGACAGATATTCGAGTGTTTATTGAGGCTTGTGCTTAATGACTCAACAATCTAGAAACACAAATTCAGTGTTAGTGTACCTCTGGTCAAATGGCAGAAAACATTTCAATAATAACTAATGAAAAAAAACTCTTTAAGCTTTCACATGACTTGTATCAGAGGCAACTTAGAAGAATTGTTGAAAGTAACTGCCATAAAGAAATAATTCCATTAGAGATATAAGCATGAACAAAAACAGCACTACACTGATGTGTTACAATCAAACATGGAAACTTACTGGCACTCTTCCACAAGGCCTATAAATAATACTTTCCAAATGTTGTCCAATGCATACAGAACATAATTCTGCAGCATGTGTTTAGATAGTATCTGGAAAAATAATTTTTTTCTTCTAATAAGATAAGCAAAGACTACATTAAAATAAAAAAACACATTTCACTTTATTGTATTAATTCACAATTACTGTCACATGTATTTAATGTACCAATGTTCACTGTAAATCTTCTAGAAAAACATATAGTAAGTAGCACTTCCCAAGTATATTAACAATCAGTTTAGGAGACTAGTGTTCTACAAGCATATTTAAATATATGATGTTTTAATAAAACATCTATTTCTAAAAGTGATGAAAGTTTTATTTATTTTACAGAAGAATAAACCAACGCACAAAGACAATTATTCTATATATAAATGGAAAAGCTATGAAAATTTATTATAAACTTAAAATTTAAAGTTCTATCATCTTATAAGGAGTGAAAAATTCTCATTTGGGCATAGATATACACATCTTGAATATTACTAAATTTTAATTTTCCCTTTCCATAACCAAAAGAGAAAGAACTATGTGTAAGCAAGCAAATAAGAGCACTCAAGATGTAGACATAAAATCATAAAATCCGCAAATAAAAATGAGAAAAATCTACAAGAAAAGTATAAAGTGGAAACTTTAGCTGTCAAAAACAAATACTGTTAAGCAGAGTTTAACTACTTCTGATGTAATTTGAAGTCAATATGTTCTTTGGGATTTAAATTTGTTAGATAAGTTGAATGCCTTACGCAGGATTTCAGTGAATTCCCGAGGACTTAAAATTCCATGGTTATTTCTTGCTCTACTGCTTTGATACACCTTGCACCTATCTTCTGCCTGATGATTATGATTTGTACCACTTTCTGTGTTAATGTTGATGAGGAACATAGAGCATTTTGCTCAATAATGAAGAATTTGTTGCTCACACTAGACAACTGTATGTTTTATACAGTAGGTTTGAAGAGACAAAGAGAAGCTTCAGTATGATATCACTCAGCAAACCACTTACAATGGATTGTTAGGCATGTCCATTTTAAAGCTTCCTGGACCAGAACCACCACTACAAATATTCCATTTTTCTATCTCTGTGGGACATTTCTCCAACACATGTTTCATGTGACCTCATCCCCATTCAACTTTTCTGCTCAACTGTTAACTTCCAATGCAGAGTTGCTTCTTGAAAATCAAGAGCAGAGGGTCTGATTTATTAATGGGCTTTATTTTTTCAGAGCAGTTTCAGATTCACAGCAAAATTGAACAGAAGGCACAGATATTTTCCATATACCTCCTGCTCCAACACATGCATAGCCTTCTCCACTATTTACATCTCCCACCAGGTGGTACTTTTATTACAATTGGTAAAATCACATTAATATAATCATCTCAAATCCATAGTTTACATTAGGGCTTACTCATAGTGTTGTACATTCTGTGGGTTTGGACAAATATCATGACATGTATCTACCATTACAGTGGCATATGAAGTTGTTTCACTGCCTTAAAATATGTGCTCTTCCTATTTATCCTGCGCTCCCTGCCTAATCACGAGGGCCTCATTTTTATGAGTAGATGTATACTTAATATATGTTTCTAAATAAAGACAGTTTACCTCACATATGAATGCACTGGTAATATTACTAGAGTAAATTCTTAAGTAGATAACACTCTAAATATAACTATCATTAGATAAAACACTATATAAAACATATACCCATCGGGCTCCAAATATATAACAATCATATAGAAAATATAACTTAGAAGTCTTACAAATTTATATGTCTAGACAAGGTGGAATAACAAGGACCACACACCATCCTCCCACAAAACACAAGTAGAAACAGTAAAATAGATACAATGGCTTTCAGATATTGAACAACAAGCAGTGCAGGACTGTGATTTCTGAGAGAAAATAAACAAAGTAAAAAAAAGATCAGCGAACTTGAAGATTTTTAGGCTTAAACATTAAGCAAACAGATAAAAAGGCAAAGAAAAAAATTTCAGGGTAATATCAAACACTCTAACATATGTAAAAATAGATTCTCAGAAAGAGACAAGGGGGAGGGCACGAACAATTCTGAGGGAAAAATATGCAGAAATCTTCCAATATTGATGAAAATGACAAATTCATATTTCCAGGAACAACAAACACTAACATGTTATATACAACATACACAGATACAGACACAAACAGCATATACCAAAGCTCATCATAATTATTTTGCTTAAAGCCAGTAACTAAATGATAGCCTTGAACGTAATGAGAGCAAATAGTCACAATACGTACAGAGGGAAAATTGTAGGAAAAATTGTAAGCACAACTGCAGACTTCTAATCAAAAATTATGCATGCCAAAAGACAATGAATTCATAATTTTTAAGCACTAAAAGGAAAATAGACATATTGAGCTAGAATTCTTTATTTAGCAATAATTTACTTCTAAGCTGATGGTAAGGTTAAAAAAAAGACAACACAAAAGCTGAGAAAAGTTTGAGTAGCAAACCACAATGACTAGATATATTAATAGAATTTCTTCAAGTGTAAAGAAAATGATACCAGAAATAAACTTGAACCTAAACAAAGAGATAAAGAGAAGGAAAAATATATAATATATTTTTTGTTATATAAAATATAAAATATATTTTTCTTTTAAAAATTAAAAGCTAATTGACACTTCAAAGCAAATTATATGATATGTTTTGGCATGTAATATATACAGAAGTAAAATATATGACCAAAATAGTAGAAAGGGTCAGAGTGGAGTAATGAAAGTATTTTGTTACAGGTATTTTCTATTATACATAAAGTGAGATAATATTTAAAAGTCTAATGCTGTAAGTTGAAGCTGTCTAGCTAAATAACTAATATTAAACATGTAGCAGGATCATGAAACTACTTAGTTAATAAAAAAGAAGGCAGTAAAAGAGTAGAAAAACAGCAAAGAATAGATAGAAAAGTGGAAAAGAAATTGAAAAATGGTAAATTTAAATCTAATTATACTGTTTAAACATAAATTGCAAAAACAGTCTCATTAAGATGCAGAAATGGTCTGAATAAATTTTAAGAAATCAAGTCCCAACTAAATGCTTCCAACAAAAAACTCGGTTAGCTTAAAATTTAAATAAGCTAAAAGTGAAAGAGTGAGGTACATATACACATTAAGCCTAAGAAAGTTAGAATTGCTGGCCGGACATGGTGGCTCACACCTGTAATCCCAGCACTTTGGGAGGTCGAGGTGGGCGGATCACCTGAGTTCAGGAGTTCAAGACCAGCCTGGCCAACATGGTGAAACCCTGTCTCTACTAAAAATACAAAAAAAAAAAAAAATTAGCCAGGCGTGGTGGCAGGCACCTGTAATCCCAGGTACTTGGGAGGCTGAGGCAGGAGAATCACCTGAACCTGGGAGACAGACATTGCAGGGAGCCGAGATCACGCCATTGCACTCCAGCCTCAGCAACAAGAGCGAAACTCTGTTTCAAAAAAAAAAAAAAAAAGAAAACAAAGAAAAAGAAATACCAGAAAAGTAGATTTAAATGGAACAGTACTAGGATAAAGAGAGACATAAAAAATCAGTTCAGCAAGAACATATCACAATTGTAAACGTATATGCAACCAATAAGAGATCTTCAAAATAAATTAAAAACTGAAAAACCTGCAAGGAAATATAGGCAAATTCAAAATTACATGTACAATTTTAACACTGTCCAGTAATAGATAGAATAAGTAGACAAAAATAAATAAATAACAAGATTATGGAAGAATTGGAGAACACAAACAACTGGACTCCCTTGATATTTAGAGAAATACTTACCCAGCAGTAGTATAAAATATATTTTTATCTCAAGTGCACATGAAATGTTTACCGAGATAGAACATACAATTAGCATTGAAACACACATTAATATACGGTAAAAGATTAAATTCATACACATCAAAATCTGTCCAACAACATAATTCATTTAGAAATCGATACTAGAAAAATGGCTGGAAAGTGGCATATATTTGGAAGTTACAGACTACTTTTTAAAGTAGCATAGAGTCAAAAAAGAAATAACAAAAAATGAGAAAAAAATTCTAAATTAAGAAAAGTAAATATGAAAAACATCAAAATTTGTTGTATGTGGTTTCAGTTGTGCTTCTAAAAAATGTATAGCTTTAAATGCTTATCTAGACAGTCTCAAATAAATGCCCAAAGTCTTTACCTCAATAAACAAGAACAAAAGAAAAAATAAACCTAAATTAAATAGGAGGAAATTAAAAGCAGAAGCAATGAAATAGAAAACAAATAGAAAGGGGCTGGGTGCGGTGGCTCATGCCTGTAATCCCAGCACTTTGGGAGGCTGAGGCGGGCGGACTGCAAGGTCAGGAGATCGAGACCATCCTGGCTAACACGGTGAAACCCCGTCTCTACTAAAAAATACAAAAAATTAGCCGCGCGTGGTGGCAGTCGCCTGTAGTCCCAGCTACTTGGGAGGCTGAGGCAGGAGAATGGCGTGAACCCAAGAGGCAGAACTTGCAGTGAGCCGAGATCCTGCCACTGCACTCCAGCCTGGGCGACAGAGCCAGACTGCGTCTCAAAATAATGAAATGAAATGACATGACATGACATGACATGACATGACATGAAATGACATGAAATGACATGAAATGACATGAAATGAAATGAAATGAAATGAAATAAAATAAAATAAAATAAAATAAAATAAAATAAAAAATAGAAAGGAATATCAATGATACCTAAAGCTGGTTTATTGAAATAATCAGTAAATATGATAAACACGCAGTTAGAATTTTTAAAAATAGGGTGCAAATTACAAATATCAGGAAAAGGGGGCATTTTTACAGTTAATAAAGGAATATTAGAAAAAACTTTAAACCAGTATCTTCTGTAACAGGTGAAATGAGCAAATTTCCTTAAAGACAAAGTTTAATGTTTATGATTTGGATGACTCGATGTGGTTAATGTCTATTCTCTTCAACTGATATATAGATTCAACCCAATCCCAACCAAAATGACAGAGGGTTTTAATTTTTTAAATTAAAAAATTAATAATTTGGATAATATAATATAATCTGGACAATATAATAATCTGGATAATATAGTAATCTGGATAGCTGCATAGTTTTGAAAAAGAACAAAATGATAGGTCTCATGTTATCAAGCTAATATGATACAGGCAAAGGGACAGAGACACAGTTTGATAAAATGAAGTAGAAAGCCCAGAAATAGATCACACAAATGCACTCAGCTGATACTTGACAAAGCTGCAAAAGCACTTCAATGGTAAAAATACAGACTTCAACAACTATTGCTGGAACAATTAAACACTCATATTTAAAAATTGTCATTATTTTAATGCATAGATAACATGGTGCCACACTGGGGAAATCAAACATATCAGCTAAGCATAAGTAAAAGTAAAATTCATGGAAATATCCTAACATCCTACCTCCCATCACTTTTAACATTTTGATATATATTTCTCCAGATTTCCCGCAGGAAATATTGATTTATGGATGCATTTCTGTGTCTATAGATTTATCTGTGGGTATATGCATCTGTCTATTTATGGGTCTATATTTCTACCCATTCATCCACCCATTCTTTTCCCATTCATCCATCTATCATCCACCTAAGTATCTGTTAAAAGGAAAACTTTAGTGGAATTAAATGTAAGAGTTTAATTGAACAGAGTACAACTTGTGAATTGGGTGGCCTCCTGAGCCAGATTAGCCTCAGAGACTTCAGCACAGCATGTGGTGGAAGATTTATGGACAGAAAAACAAAAGTGATGTACAGAAAACGAAAGTGAGGCACAGAAACAACTGGATTGTTTGCAGCTTGGCTTTTGCCTCATTTGAAAAGAGCTTGAACAGCTGGCCACCTTTGATTGGCCAAAACTTGGTGACTGGCACAAGAATAGGCTACAGTCTGTTTACACCTCCATTTAGGTTACAGTTCACTATGTACAGAGAAATCTTTAGGCTGAACTTAAAATAGGTAAGGAGACAGCTTTAGGCTAAAGTTTATTGAATACGTCTATACACATTTTTATTGTATATTTACTATATAAAAATATTTCCAATATAGAAAGAATGTATCTCATTCCCTAAGAGTATCTCTTATTAACAGCAATATTTCTTTTCTTTTCTTTTCTTTTTTCTTTTCCTTTTCTTTTTAAGAGGGAGTCTCACTTTGTCACCCAGGCTGGAGTGCAATTGTGCGATCTTGGCTCACTGCAATCTCAGCCTCCAGGGTTCAAGCGATTCTCCTGCCTCAGCCTCCCGAAAAGCTGTGATTACAGGCATGCACCACCATGTCCGCTGATTTTTTTTCTTTTTTTTTTTGTATTTTTAGTAGAGACAGGGTTTCACCATGTTGGCCAGGCTTGTCTGGAACTCCTGACCTCAAGTGATCCACCTGCCTCGGCCTCCCAAAGTCCTGGGATTACAGGCCTGAGCCACCACACATGGCCCAGTGATACTTCTTTTTTAGAGTTTATATTATATTTTGAAAAACAGGTAGGTATACTTATATGCATGTATATCAAGTTGCAAGGCTGTAATATGTATATATTGAAAGTATATGTAATTTTATTTTTATATTTATAAAAGTGAAATGGCACTTCCCCTTTTTATTTTTCTCTAAGTTCTGACAATGGGTTGATCCCAATTTTCCTAAATGGTTTTTGCCTACTTGAAATCTATAGCATTAATTGATGATATTGCTTCTTTTTCCCT